>NT_187518.1:0-165834 GCF_000001405.40 Homo sapiens
CACTGTGAGTCCAACATGGTTCTCCAAACTTACACATTATCTCATCAACCTACACAGTGGCACTTTGTTAGAATAATCATCTTTAGCATGTATATGAGAAACAGGAGGCAATAGGAATAAATTTGTTAGAAGTTGAATAAAACCAAAATTTAATTTTACTCCAAATCTCCTTCTTTAGAGAATGCAATTTATTGGTTACATCCTGAAATATATATATATACACACACATCTTATATATGCAAAATATTATGCATAACATTACATATATAACTATATTGCATATGTTTATATACATATTTACATACTCTATATTTACATATGTAATATGTATATGTAGATATATGTAATATTTATGTATTTAAGTACTTACATATATAAATATGTGCAAATACATATTAGGTATTACATATATAGGATGTATATATATTATATCACAGAATGAAACCAATAAATTGCATTCTCTAAAGAAGGAGATTTGGAGTAAATTTAAATTTTGGTTTTATTCAACTTTAACAAATGTATTCCTATTACCTCCTGTTTCCCATATGCATGCTAAAGACGATTGTTCTAACAATGTGCTACCATGTGGGTATGTAAATGTAGATATGTACATATATACATATAAAACATATAATATTACATATTAATATGTAGTAGAATTATATATGTGTATATGTATATTAGATTATATATAATTATCTATGTTCTCTAAAGTCCACTGATACTCAATGTCATGACTCAGGGTATCAGTAGAATTTAGAGATGAGGACATAAAAATGTGTTAGGAGAGAAACAACCTCACAAGGGGAAGACAGAAGGGAAGACACAAGGGAAAGACAAAGCACCTATTTATAGTTTCTTCCTGTGGCTTGGAAATTTTCACCACGTGGTGGCCTAAGTTTAGGAAGACTACTTTACATGATCGCTAAAAGTTTTAGGAATTGCTGTTCTAGTGAGTGAAGCAGAAGTTGCTTCATCTTTATAACCTAGTCTTGGAAGTTACAAAGTATATTGTATTGGCTCAAACAGTCACAAAAACCTGACTAGTTTTAAGGAGACAGGTCATAAAATGATGAAGATTTTTATAATCTTTAGAAACATCAAAGTGCCTCAAAACCCAAAATAGGTAAAAATAGATTTAGACATAAAACAATAAGCAAAATACTACATTTAAAATGTCACTTTTGAGAGATAATATCATACTATTTGATATATATCAGGAGCCAAAAACATAAATTTGAATTTTAAGGATCCATGTCCATCAGTGCAAATTATCATAGTACTAGGCAAAAAGAGGAATTTCATATGGCTTTCTTAGCATAAAATGAAAATAACTTGGTAATATTCTATATATATATATATATTATAATAAGTCATAGAACACTAGACAAAGAATGGAAATAAAGTCCGGTGATGCTTAACAATGGGATATATTTGAGAAATGCATTGTTAGATAATTAAGTCATTGTGTGAGCATCATAGAATGTACTTACACACACCTAGATGACATAGCCTACTACACATCTAGGCTATATGGTATGGCCTAGTATTCCTAGGCTACAAACCTGTGCAGAATGTTCCTATACTGAATATTGTACATAATTATAAAACCACTGTAAATATATATATATATATATATATATATATACACACACATACCTAAACATAGAAAAGGTACAAGAAAAATATGGTATAAATGACATAAAATGATGTGTATACCTGTGTAGGGCAGCTCCATTATATTCTTATGGGGCCACTTCGTACATGTGGTCCATTCTGGACAGAAATGTTCTTATGCAGTGCATGCATGTACTTAAGGTACCAAAGTTTACATAAAGATTGATACATTTATTTTACAATTAGAATTAAGATGGGAATGATCACTATGACCACAATTGCTTAAAATTTTGATGAATGTCTTTTAGAGAAAAACACTAAATTAACAGATACTCTATTAAACCAAGAAGATAGTTTATCAAGACCAGTCTATAAAATTATGTAACATTTTTTCTATGCCAGCGATAATGATTTGAGAAACATATAATAGAGTACTTGATAACAAAAACAAGTGTATAATATATAAAAATTAATATAACATAGAATGCAAAAATCTGCCTCAATAGATACAATTTAAAAGTGTAATAAAAGACTTACTAGAATATTGGAAAAAGTAGGCATTCTGTATTCAAGGATGGGATCACAATATAACCTTGTAAATTCCACTCAATACAAATTTCTAAATATTTATTTTAAAGACCTAATACAGCTTACTACATTATTCCTTATTATAAATTAACTAAGAGATAATAAATGTCCAAAATAACTTAGTAAATGTTGAAAAGTAAAGAACAAAGATGAGTAGTTTTCCTAATACCTATTGCTATATAACATAAAGTCATATTTATAACATCATCCTGATACATCGTAATATACACATCTCTATAATCAAATATAGAGAAACAGTTGGGACACTATTGCTCTCAAAAGTCAACTTACAATATATGAAACAGTATCTAATAAAGGAGAAATTTTATATTGAAAGAACAAAACATGCTATTACTCGATGTAGGAAAAACTTGCTCAACAACTAAAGAAAAAAATTATATTTCTATTTAAAAATATATAGAAACTAGACTTCAGATTAAGACTTAAATACATAACGTAATGCTATAGAGTTACTTGAACGTAATAGAAAATAATCTCTTTCTCATAAAGTGGAAGGGACACATAACTTCAACAGCAAAAGATTAATGAAATATATTTAATTACATAAAAATTAATAATATTTATCTAGTGAATGACATCATGGGCAAACAACATACTAATACAAATTGAAAGAAGATAATTTGCATCTCAGAGACAAATAAGCCAATAAAACCTAAAATATTCAATGTATTCCTACACATCTTAGGATGCCCATTTTAATTAGTAATCAGATAATTACTTAATCAGAGAATTAATTACTTAATCAGAGAATTACTTAAGATGCCCAGTTTAATTTGTAATCAGAGAAAGGGCAATTAAACAAAATAAAATATTACTTTAGATCCAATAAATTAGCAACATTTCAGGAGCTGAATAATGCTAAATGGTGCAAAAGATGTGAATGAATAAGAACGCTTGGAACTACATTTGAAAACATGATCTGATGTTGGTATCTTTCTTTTTTTTTTTTTTATTTTGAGAAAGTCTCACTCTGTCATCCAGGCTGGAGTGCAGTGGCACAATCTTAGCTCACTGCAACCTCCGCCCTCTGGGTTCAAGCGATTCTCCTGCCTCAGCTTCCCAAGTAGCGAGGATTACAGGTTCATGCTACCATGCCCAGCTAATTTTTGTATTTTTAGTAGAGACAGGGTTTCGTGGTGTTGATATCTTGAAGAGCAATCTGCTGGTGTCTAGGAAATTTATATTTTCATATCAATTAGAAGTCAGCAATTCTGCCTAAGCCCATTTATACCAAACAAATTCTCAGAAAGGTCCAGAATAAAGAAAATAATCCAAACAAGTTAAATATTATTTTTAGTTATAAATAAGTTATCAATAATAACATGGAATTAAAGCACAAAATTGTGATTTTTTAAAAACAAAGCCAAGATTTAAGTAGCTTACGATGGAAAATAAAGCATAAAGAATGCTTAATGCATTTTTTTTTGACATGGGGTCTGGCTCTGTCACTCAGCCTGGAGTGCAGTGGTGAGATTATAGCTCATGGCAGCCTAGAACTCCTCAGCTCAGTCTCCTGAGTAGCAAGGACTGCAAGTATGCGCCACCACACCCAACACATTTTTAAATTTTTTTTGTAGAGATGGGGTCTTGTTATGTTGCCCAGCCTGGTCTCAAATTCCTGGACTCAAGTGATTCTCCCACCTCAGCCTCCCCAAATAGTAAGATTATAGATATAAGCCACTGTGCCCAGCCTGGAATGCTTAATACTGTAAAAGCAAATAAAATAATGACACAAGATAACACATCTTCAGTAACATCAAGATTTGTTTATAAGCTACAGAAATAAAAACCAGGTAGGGGGTTGGGGGAAAGAGGAGGGAAAGCATTAGGACAAATACCTAATGCATGCGGGAGTTAAAACCTAGATGATGGGTTGATGGGTGCAGCAAACCACCATGGCACACTTTTGCCTATGCAACAAACCCACACATCCTGCACATATATCCCAGGACTTAAAATACAATAAAATTTAATAAAGTAGAAAAAATTATTAATATATACACATGAAATATAAATATATATGCACATACACATGTGGAAATAGAAAAAATGCGCACAGGATTTGACAGATATTTCACAAAGCAACAGTTAAACACATCAAAAGTCATGTAAACATTAGTAATCAAAAAGGCACATTGAACAATGATGCACCTATCAAATTGACTAAGACGGAAAAGTGCATAGAATTCAGTCCTGGTACATGTAAAGTTTATTGCTGTGATGCTGTAACACAAGTTGAAAACATTTTTGGACAGGGAATTTAGTTTATGGATATTAAGAAATTTGAAAACTTTGTATCTTCTTGCAAATCACT
The DNA here is from genome assembly GCF_000001405.40 of Homo sapiens. Taxonomy (NCBI): domain Eukaryota; kingdom Metazoa; phylum Chordata; class Mammalia; order Primates; family Hominidae; genus Homo; species Homo sapiens. The sequence continues at coordinate 4,541 of NT_187518.1, forward strand.
TTAGGAAAAAACACACTTAGAGAATGCTATCTGGGAAAGGTGGCGGGGGAGAGTATACGGAAATGTTGGTCAAAGAGTTAAAAGTTGCAGTTGTGTAGGATAAATAAGTCTAGAGATCTAATGTATAGCTTGATGACTATAGCTAATAATATTGTATTGTACACTGGGAAGTAGCCAAGAGAGTAGGTTTCAGGTGCTCTTAGCACATGTAGACACACACACACACACACACACACAAAGTAAAGATGGACATGCTTATTTTCTTGACTGTAGTAATAGTAATAATTTCACTATGTATATAAAAATATGTTGCATACCTTAAATATATACAATAAAAAGAGAATCCTTTGTACATAAGCTATTAAAAATGTCAAACAATTTATCACTTAGAAATTTGAACACAACCTAAATAACCACTATTTGGATTTTAATTGTGGTATAATTAATTTGATAGGATATCAATGTCTAGTCACATATATACACTTAACCTATTTTAAATAGAATAGATTTAATGTACAAAAGTGGTTACAGGGTGGCACAAAGGGCTGGAGGGAAGGCTGATGCAGCAAGGAGCCGAGTGTTATCACTCACAGACCAGGAGTTGTCACCAGTGGCGCCTCATATGCTCCTCAGTGCTGAGCTGATGGAGACCGCACGCCCAGGGCTGCTTGTGTGACTTTCCCATGCTGATATGCGGCAACTTAGATGCCCTGCATCCCCACAAATGCAGCTGAAACTGACTGTAAGCCCACAACTCCCTCAGGACCCCTGCTGCCTGCAGTTGCTGCTGCTGCCGCCACAGATCATCACCAGAAGCAGGAAATAAGACACAGTTTCCTTCTTTCTCCTGCTCTCCAGTGTTCCACCAGGGCCTGCCCTCTCATAGCCTTACAGGAAACCAGGTAGCACAGGAGTCAGGACAAGCTCTCTGCGGGCTGAAGCCCTAGAAGTCAGCGGAGACACCAGCCCTAAAGTGTGGGCCCAACAAACAGAAGACAGACACCATCTGGACAAACGTTTTCATGAAAAGACTTCCGTGACATGGTAACATGATCAACATCATTCTAGAACACACGCACAGAAAACGGTTCAGAAATACTTGTCTGCAAGATCCAAGAGGGTGGAGTTGCTTCCACCTAGTTACCTATTTTATTCCAACTGTCTGCTACATGGTGTACACTTCATAAATATTCATAGTATGAAGTCAAGACATGAATTTTAAAGTTTTGTTTCTATCTGAACTATTACATTATGGTTGATTTTTAAATTTTATTTGTACTAGACTGTGATTTTAGATTTTTTAGTCATATCAATATTTAAAATAAAAACAAACTTTAAAATTAAATGCATCACTAAAGTAACAGAGCTTGCAGGTGAATAACAGAAGAAAGAACATAACAAGCTAATGAAGAGTGATAGCAATGAAGATGTGAAAAAGACAACCTCAATTTTAGTATGGAGTTCATTACTGATCAGCGATACTCTCTTTGACACATCAACTGAACTCTGAGTTTCAAAGCCTATATTTGTGAAAGATTGGAACACAAATAGCAATATTTTATAAAAATTTCCTAAAGTTTAAAGGAGGAGGCACATACACATGAAAATATTGTGTAAAACACAAAAGGCCATATATAACTAACTCATATATCATAGGTAAAAATTCATTAGTAATGGCTAACTTTGAGATTATTGTTAATATTTGTTGAGATTTTCAGTTTAACAATAAAAGAAGATTAAATAACAACAACAAAACAGCTGGGCACAGTGGTGTGTGTCTGTAGTACCAGCTATTCAGGAGAGTGATGTGGAGGGGGTTCACTTGAGGCCAGGAGGTCGAGGCCTTTGTGCACTGTGATCTCACCTGTAAAAATCTACTGCACTCCAGCCTGGGCAACATAGTAAGATTCTGTCGCTTAAAAAAAAATGAGAAGAAAATCAGAAAAGGGCAACAGAGATATCTATTAGCTTCTTTAGCTCCTTTATTTGCATTCGTCTTCAAAACCCCAGAGAGGACTTATTAACAGAAAACTTTTATCTACACCCCTAATGGACACAGTGAAGCCAGGGATGATGTCACTTTTGTTTTTCTTTGCACACTTAAGCCAGCCACACACCATGAGCCCCTCCAAATGAGGGTCAAGACATCATCTGATGGTGAGTTACACCAGATAGGTAGACAGTATTGCAGGAACAAAAGATGGTCACGGTTCTTGACTTGTTCTGCTTTTGAAACATTTCTATTAGTTCTTGACTGTATTTCCTCATTTCCCTCTATCATCTATTTTTATGGAGAAAAGCCAATCTGTTTTATTTTTCCTTTGAGTCTCATTTTATATAATACTTATTTACTGCAACATATTAGTAAACGGGTTTTTCATTTCCAAAGTATTTATGGACAAAATCATATATATTCTTCCTCTGTTATTGAATGATACATTTGTTTTAGTGGGATGAAAATTTTGCAGAGGAAAAACAACTAATTTTTCTTTGAATGGAAATTAGGTCTTAGAGTTAGAAAACACTAGCAACAAATGTTTCAATCATATTTATGTTTCCCTGGTGAAACCAATAGTGAGTTATCTAAAACCCAAATTTTAGTCTACGGAAGCAGGACTGTGTCCCCAAGAGAACTGAGGTAAGTGACATGCTCTGGGTCCCGCACCTGCACCGATGTACTTACTCCATGGGGTTAGCTGTGTGATGTTAGATAGATACCCCAGAACTTGAACTTTTAAATCTGTAAATGGTGAAATTAGATTATATACCTCATAGGTTCTTGAGGAAAATTAAATGTGGTAAACTGGCATTAAGAACAATTCCTAGGATACTGTAAGCTTCACATAAATGCTCAATATTGCCCTACCACCACTATTAATTATTCCCTGGGTTAAACATGCATTGTGCTGTTTGGAAACTCAAGCAATGTGATCAAGAAAAATAAAAGAAAGAAAAAGTCCAGTTGTGCTGCATGCTGCAGTCACAGTTTTCCCTCACTGATCTGGTGTCCCAGGTCAGCTGTTCAGCGTGGCTTAATGACAGGGACTTCCATTTACAAAAGTGCAGCAGAGATTTGCCCAGCATCCACCTCCCATCCCGCACTGCCCTCTTGGTCTCCCTCCATTCACTTAGCAAACAGCTGCCCAGTCTCCGCATCTAATTATTATTCTCCAAAACTTGAAAATATTAATAAGTCTAATTAGAATTATTAAAAGAATTCAAAATGTATTTGAAACTTGGAAATTCTTCCTGAAATATGACTGTATGATAACCACTGCTAAAGTCTTCCCTGAAAAAGGACCCTATATTTTCTTCCTATTGATAAATACTAAAATTTAACAACATGTCAGAAATCGAAAAGTTGCAAAGTTTTAATCTTCTTAAGAGAAAATGTAGGAGTTATCAGTGATTCTCTTCAGAAAGGTTAAATGTATTTTGCTTCTATTAGCCTTGTTAATGTAGCTCATAGCTATTCTAATCTGAAGTTGTACTTTAAATCATGTTTATATGTTTTTTCCTGAATAGACTGACTGTGACCTCCTCAAGCTTAATCAAATATAATTTGTCTTTGATTCCTGCACTAGCTAACACAGAGTCAGGCTGTGAGTAGCAAGATAGAGGAAGGAATTTAATTGAAGTGAGAGACATCTTAGTGTTTTATTTTCTTTTCTGCCTCACAGTTTCCGTGAAAAAATTCACTGTAGCAGGCAATAAAGCAGATATTTGCAAAAACACCAAAAGCCTTACCTGGTAAATAGCAGGGAGTTTCTAAATCCCAGTTATGCCCCCCTGAGATTTAATGCGAATGACAGGAGCTTTAAGGAGTTAAGCTTGGAGAAGCATGCACTAGTCACAAAGAAGGTGGATTCTGCATAAATCTCTGCTCAACATGAAAATAAGAGACATACCTTACATTAATATATGCATTTCTATTTGTAAATATGCATATACAATGTATTCTTATATTTGTAAATCTGCACATATATAAAAATGCATATCTATAAATTTATATAAAATAAATGTAAACTGTATACATACAAGTTGTCTGGGACTAGAGAAATTATCAAATCCAAATTCTTACAAGTCTGACTAAATGATAAAATCAGCAAACTGAAGTAATGAAGCTCATATCATAAGATGATTATAGTAATACAGTCTGCAGAATAATTTGTGTAGATATTAACTCTTTGACAGTGTATGTATTTGTTCATTTGTAACTGGTAATATTCTAAGCACTTTCATTACTTTTCTGCATTTAATCTTCATCAACCCTGAGGTCAAACCTTTTCTTACCATCTATTTTTATGTGCAGTAAACAGAGGAATAGCAGGTAGAGGGGAAGCTGGGTCCACCCTGCAGTCCAGCCACGGTCCCTGGGCTCCTCACCCCATGCGACTCTGGTTTCTGAGGAGTCTGGTGTGTAGGAGGACCCTGGCTTGCTCATGGGGATGTGTGGGGTTTTGCTCCACGAAACCACAGAGCCTCACAGCATTGTCCAATACTGTGGGTAGAAGGGTGCAAATGTTTGGTATGGATTTTCCACAAGTGATATTTTAGTCATGTTCTAAATCATTCCTATATGGAATACACTTTTGGGAGTTTTTAAGATTCCAGATGGATCCTTAAACCAGAGAATGTAATTCACTTTAGACTTCTCTAAACAACTCTAAAAACAGGGGGACAAAATTCTCCTTTGTTTTCAATAATTCACTATTCATGTCTGCATAAGGCAGTGACACTGCCAGTTTCCAGGACTTGTTTATAACAGACACTCTCATCGGGAAATCTCATGACTCAGAACTGTGGCAACTTCACTACAAATCACCCTTTTGATCCACAGTTGTGAATTCTTAGTTCCTGGTAAATTTTTTGAATTGCAGATAATTTATAACACCCAAATCTACAGGCCCATGGGCCTTTCTTTGGTTAGAACACACACACACACACACAATTTGTTTCAGAGGCTCAAATTACTTTAACCCCAAGCTTTCCTTTGTGGCCTAGGTGAAACCTCATGGACAACATCACCTGGATGGCCAGCCACACTGGATGGTCGGATTTCATCCTGATGGGACTCTTCAGACAATCCAAACATCCAATGGCCAATATCACCTGGATGGCCAACCACACTGGATGGTCGGATTTCATCCTGTTGGGACTCTTCAGACAATCCAAACATCCAGCACTACTTTGTGTGGTCATTTTTGTGGTTTTCCTGATGGCGTTGTCTGGAAATGCTGTCCTGATCCTTCTGATACACTGTGACGCCCACCTCCACACCCCCATGTACTTTTTCATCAGTCAATTGTCTCTCATGGACATGGCGTACATTTCTGTCACTGTGCCCAAGATGCTCCTGGACCAGGTCATGGGTGTGAATAAGATCTCAGCCCCTGAGTGTGGGATGCAGATGTTCTTCTACGTGACACTAGCAGGTTCAGAATTTTTCCTTCTAGCCACCATGGCCTATGACCGCTACGTGGCCATCTGCCATCCTCTCCGTTACCCTGTCCTCATGAACCATAGGGTGTGTCTCTTCCTGTCATCAGGCTGCTGGTTCCTGGGCTCAGTGGATGGCTTCACATTCACTCCCATCACCATGACCTTCCCCTTCCGTGGATCCCGGGAGATTCATCATTTCTTCTGTGAAGTTCCTGCTGTATTGAATCTCTCCTGCTCAGACACCTCACTCTATGAGATTTTCATGTACTTGTGCTGTGTCCTCATGCTCCTCATCCCTGTGGTGATCATTTCAAGCTCCTATTTACTCATCCTCCTCACCATCCACGGGATGAACTCAGCAGAGGGCCGGAAAAAGGCCTTTGCCACCTGCTCCTCCCACCTGACTGTGGTCATCCTCTTCTATGGGGCTGCCATCTACACCTACATGCTCCCCAGCTCCTACCACACCCCTGAGAAGGACATGATGGTATCTGTCTTCTATACCATCCTCACTCCAGTGGTGAACCCTTTAATCTATAGTCTTAGGAATAAGGATGTCATGGGGGCTCTGAAGAAAATGTTAACAGTGGAACCTGCCTTTCAAAAAGCTATGGAGTAGACCATTTTGAGAGTAATTTACTTTTCCTTCTCTCTGCACTTCACATATGAGAATGTTATACCAGTGTTATTTCCCAGACTCCAAGACTGCCATGGTGTTTGATCTCATTTTCACACCTCTTTTAGAAATCGCTTTCCTGTACTAGAAACTTTTCAATTTACACTCCGTCTCACTTCAAAATGCATTATTCAGTCATATTATATTGATGTTACAGTTACTGAAGTTCATAACTACTTTCTAATTCTATAGGATATTTTCATATTCTGGGAATACATAATGATACTACTTAGAGGATAAAGGTTATAAGGCATAAAATTGAGAGAGAGGGAGAAATGAGGAAGAAAAAGGGTTCATATAGATGTTCTTTGTACTACTTTTATTTATGCTAATTTTCTGTAAAATTGAAATTAATTTTAAATAAATAATTAAAATATGTCCCCTCCCTCCCACCTTTTTTGAGCAGTACACATGATATAATATCTTAGAAAACTTGCTGATTGCAATGTAGTTATTCACTGCTGAGACAATCCAGCCATTTGTCCACCCTTATTGGAGGCTGTCTTGGCCCACATGGTTGGTTCCTGAAAGATTAAGGTCTGTTATTGAGGTTAACAGTCTTCATCAAGTGCTGGGTTTTGAATCCCGAATTCCGTTAAGAGACTGTGGAAAACATATTAGCCTGGGGTGAAAAGAAGCTTTAGAGAAGATTTCCAGCACAAAGTGACATCTGAGCTGAGTTTTGAAGTATGTAATTTATTAGACAAATAAGAAGAGGTAGAGTATCAAATATCCAATTGTTCATTTATCCAGTAAATATTTGTTATGCTATATTAAATCTAAAATATTCACTAAAGAAAATTCAAAGGTGAATACTACATACTGCTTTCCCCAAGAAATTTGAACTAGTAATTCTGTGTGCAAATAGGTGCTATAAAGTGTATGAAATGCTTTGATGCACATGTGGAAAGGGTATAGCTCATTCTGGCACCTCGCTTCTTCCTGTGCTGTGCACATTCAATCAAGCAGAAGATGCTGAGTGCAGCCCCAGGAGCTCAGTGTTAAAGGTGCCTAGCTGTTCCCCTCAGATAACTACACATGGCTGGGGAAGGGGGAGGGACTTTGTCAGGGATGTGATTATGCCTGGGAAAAGGCACAGCAAGAGCAAAGGTCAGACAATTGACCAAGCAGGAGTGGCAAATATTCTAATCGTGCCTTCTTTCCTGTTTTATTTTGTGGAATAATTCCTTGCTTTCTGTGACCCAGATGTTTACAAACAGTAGAAAATGATCAGTCTTGCATTTCAGAAATATTACTTTGGTGACAATAGATTGGAGAAGTGCAAACCTGGTGGCAGGCAGACCAGGTGAGTGAGGATGGTGAAATGCACGAACTCAGTGGAACGATGTGTACCTTACCACCAGGAGGGACTTAGGGAGAGGAAATGTTTGGGGTATGCAGGGATGTGAGACTTTGTCAAACCAATTGGATTATAATTACAGACCTAGTTGCAGGTGTATCATTTTCCAATTGCCTGTGTCCAACTTGTGAAAAATCAAGTGGCTTCAGATTTACAGATTCTGCTTTCCTCTTGACAATATGATCCTAAACATGTAAAACTTAAAATCTCCACAAAAGCTCTGTTAGAACAATTGAAAGCCTTCACATAAAGTTGCAGAAATCAAAATCAACATACATCAATAATTTTTCTATGCACTAACATCAAACTACCTGAAAAAGAAATTTAAAAACAATTTTATTTATAATAGTGTCAAATCAAACAAACAAAAACTTTGGGATAAATTTAACCAAAAGGGTTAAATATCTACACTGAAAAACATAAAACATTGATGTAGGAAATTAAAGAAGACACCAATAAATGAGAACTATCCCATATTCATGGATTGGAAGAATTAATATGTTAAATTTTTCATATTACCCAAAGGGGTCTATACATTTAATGACATTCTTGTCACATTTCAATGTCATTTTTCACAGAACTGGAGAAAAAAATGATTTATATGAACAGTAAGAACAAAAGGGGAGCATCACACTACTTTTTTTCTAAATATATTACAAAGCTATGACACTCAAAACAGCATGGTACACGCATTACAAAAGGCACATTGACCAGTGGAACAGGATTTAGAGCCGAGAAATAAACCCACACATTTATAGTCAATTGATTTTTGACAAATGTGCCAAAAACACACCTGAGGAAAGGACTGTTCCTTCAACAAATGATACTGGAAAAATTAGATATCCACATGCAAAAGAACAAAATTGAACCCTTTTCTCACACCATATACAAAAATCAATTCAAAATGAATTAAACTTGGATATAAGACCCGAAACTGTAAAGCTACTAGAAGAAAATATAGGGAAAAGCTCTGTGACATTGGTTTGGGCAATGTTTTTCTGGATATAAACTCAAACTCCCATGGAACAAAAGCACAAATAAACAAATCAGATTATGCAAAACTAAAAAGGTTCTGCACAGTAAAGGAAACAATCAATAGAGTGAAGGGACAACCCACAGAATTAGATAAAGTATTTGTAAACTATATTATCTGATAAGGGATTAATAGAAAAAATATATCAGGAACTCAGAAACCTCAATAGTAAGAAAATAAATAACACAATTTAAAAATGGGCATAAGACCTGAATAGACATTTCTGGAAAGAAGACAGACAGATGGCCAACAGGTATATGAAAAATAATGCTTATTATCACTAGTCATCAGGGAAACACAAAACAAAACCACAATGAGATATCACTTCACTCTTGTTAGAATGGCTATTATCAAAAAGACAAAAGATAACAAGTGTTGGTGAGGACATGGAGACAACTTCCCTCCCTCCCACCTCCAACTTTGAGGGTACAGTGGGCTAAACTGAAGAATGCATGAGCTGGGGGAGGCAGAGGATGCTGGGTCCTGTCTCCCCACTCTCGGGGCCGACTCCTTGACCTGATACAGGCAGAACAGGTGAGGCCCCGAGGCTTTACCTTGACTGAGAGCTCTAGCTGTGAGTAGGATCTAGGCATGTTAGTAACGACTGATTCTGGACTGAATGTGCTGGGAGGTCATTTGAAAGTCTAGGAAGGTTGAAAAAACCTCATAGCTTGAACAGGCATTTGAATGAAACCTCAAAGTTCTTTTGTGCTTGTAACTTGAAGACATTTGCTCTTTGGAAATAGCATACACATATACAGACCATCTATATGGTATACACAGATGACAAAGGTTTGTGCTCTCCATAGTTTCTTTTCTTCTTTATTTGATGGATTTATTCTTTCTTGCACACCTGTAATTATATTTCTCTTGACACCTTGCTGTATATCAACTTCTTGAGTTACACTCCTTGTCAATAGTTGAAAAGTTTCTGTCTTTCAGCTTCCAACAAATTTGCTGACGAGTCAGTTGCTGCTCAGATTTTTTAAAAATCAATTTTATATAAGTAGTTCTTTCTATCTGGTGACTGCAAAATGTTAACTTGCATTTACTCTGAAAATAATTCATGTACATATTTTAACTTACTGTTACAATTGCTAACTGTTGTTAATGTATAATTTCTATAAATGTATATCTATTGCGTTGAATATCAGAGTATTAATTTAAAAGTGGTACTTTTTACATATATAACTAGGAGTGGAATAGCAGGGTAATATAATAATTCTATACTTTGTGTTTTGAAAAGCTGTCAAACTGTTTTCAACTATGGCTGAAACATTTTGCATTTCCACCAGCAATGCATGAGTCTTAATTTCTCCATATTCTCACCAACACTTATTACTGCTTAATGAGTAAGGGGTTTTACAGCTTGGGATCGTGGAAATGTTTTGGAACTAGAGGTTGTTGTTGCCCAATATTGTGAATGTATAAGATACCACTGAATTGTTCACTTTAAAATGGTTAATTACATTGCATGAAGTTCACTTGAATAAATTATTTTTAAGTGGCGCTGTTTGTTTGGAAGACTATGAGAGAAATTTATTTTCACATAGGGTTATCCCATGGAACTAGGCAAAATCTTGAGAAATAGTATTTCCAAATAATTCACAATAATTTTTCAACTTATTCCAAGAAGACAACTTCTCTAAAAACATGTAACATAATGGGCCTGGTCAGTTCTTGGTTGATGCTTTGACTCTTTCAGTGTTTCTTATTTTAAAACATGATTTTAAGTTTCAGTTTTGGCTGGGAGAAAATACCCTGTCTAAAGCTGTATTTCAGCCTCTTGCTTTCAGATTTACCAAATTGTCTTTGTTTGACTTAAAAAAAATTTTTAGTTGTCTGTTTCCAACATATTTGCATTGTTGATTTAAAAAAACTTTGAAAAGCATGTGTGTTCATTTGAGAATAATTTTAGCTCATTTTTGATAGGGGAAGTGTATAATTTATTTTATTAGTTCTAAGTCCTCCTTATTTCTAAATTTTATTTTTATGAAATAACATTTTAAATGTGCTTCAAAATATTTCCACAGGGCAGTGTGTGTGTGTGTGTGTGTGTGTGTGTGTGTGTGTGTGTGTGAAAAATAATCATACATTTTATTTAGAGTCGGTTTCCTTTCACAGAAAATTTTCATTAGCTCTTATGCATGAAAATAAATAGTCAAATGATTTACAGTTTTAAAATGTGACCTGTAAATTCAAAAATGTTTAAAAATCATTCAGAGTTCCTATTATAATAGATTTGTATGATAATTTTAAAAAAAATTTTTTTTTGAGAGTTTCACTCTTGTTGCCCAGGCTGGAATGCAATGGTACAATCTCGGCTCACTGCAACCTCCACCTCCCGGGTTCAAGCGATTCTCCTGCCTCACCCCCTCACTAGCTGGGATTACAGGTGCCTGCCACAATGCCTGGCTAATTTTTTGTATTTTTAGTAGAGATTGGGTTTCACCATTTTGGCCAGGCTGGTCTCAAACTCCTGACCTCAGGTGATCCGCCCACTTTGGCCTTCCAAAGTGTTGGGATGACAGGCATGAGCCACCATGCCTGGCCTGTTTGATAATTTTAAAAAATGTTGTTACCATCCACATTTTACTCAATTTTTATAAAACTTATCTTTTATTTTGTTTTTCAGAATAATTTGTTCAATTTAGGCTTGTTTCAAAACATATTTATTTAATTTTGCAATTATATTTCGGTAAAGGAAGGAAAAAGAACAATGAGCATTCCAGTGTGACAGGAGACATGTAACTGCAGTAAACAAACAGCTCCATGATGGTGACAGAGCTACCGGGTGTAGAAGGTACACATTCTAATAGCTATGGTTATTCCCATTCCACAGATACTGATTAACGAGTTTCACAAAAGATATGTTGAGAATGAATTACTTCAGTGGTAGAGTAAGCAGAGATGAATTACAAAAGCTTTTAGTAAATACAGTCAGCCCTCTTTATCCGAGTTCTGCATGTGTGGATTCAATCAACTGCAGATAAAAAATATTCAGAAAAAAATGTTCTGAAGTTCCAAAAAGCAAAACTTGCCATGTTCTGAGCACTATGTTGAATCAATTCCAATGAAGTGATATATAGACCTTGCATGAGGTATAATAAGTAATCTAAAGATGATTTAAAGTATGTGAGAGGATGTGCATAGCTTACATGCACATACCGCAGCATTTTATATAAGGCACTTAAGCATCCTCAGGTTTTGGTACCTACAAGGTGTCCTGGAACCAAACCCCACAATGAATACCAAGAGACAAATGTGTTTTTAAAACAAATGAGAATTGGTCTTGCAGGGTCCTCACCAAGTGAAAGATCACTCCCTGCCTTATGGAGGTGGGAGGGAAATAGGAAAAATTGTATTAAGTAAATGTCTACCATGAAGTCATAAATACGATTTGTTCAAAATACTTAACAGTGAAATTTATATTTTGAAAACATCATTTAATATTGAAAAGAAAAATTTAGGGAACGGCTAGTGGAATAAAAATTACATAGAAGAATCAGGACAATGAAGTAAACTTACATAGGGGAAAAGGGAAATCAAAATCATTTGGGGCCAGGCATGGTGGATCACACCTGTAATCCCAACACTCTGGGAGGCGGAGGTGGAAGTATTGCTTAAGTCCAGGAGTTCAAGACTAGCCTGGGCAACATACTGAGACCCCATCTCTACAAAAAATAAAACAATTATCCTGGCATGGTAGCAGGTATCTATAGTCCAAGCTACTTGTGAGGCTGATATGGGAGGATCAGTTGAGCCCAGAAGGTTGAGGGTGTAGTGAGCCATGAATCATACCACCACATTTCAGCCTGGGCAACAGAGTGAGACTCTGTCTCAAAATAAAAATAAAAAAAATCATTTGTAAAACATAAGTGAAATGAATTTAAATACAAGTTTCAAATCAGTATACATGAACGCTAATACAATTTTCTTGAACTAGAGAGACTGTACAAGGAAACTGTGCATCTGGACATTGCTGTAATTTTTTTTTAACAGGGTCTTGCTCTGTCCCCTAGGCTGGAGACAACCTCCACATCCTGGCTTCAAGGGATTCTCATCCATCAGTTTTCAGACTAGCTGGGATTACAGGCGTGGGCCACCACACCCAGCTAATTTCTTGTATTTTTAGTAGAGATGGAGTTTTCCTATGTTGGCCAGGCTTGTCTTGAACTCCAGGTCTGAAGTGATCCACCCATCTCGGCCTCCCAAAGTGTTAGGATTACAGGCATGAGCCACGGCATCTGGCCTATTGCTGTAATTATTGATCATAACTGTGGTCATTAATGCATATATTTTTGTTAAGTTGTTTTCTTGGTTTAATTCAATATGGCTTAGGGATATGGACTGCATATTTCAAACTTTGTAGAATTCTCTTGAGTTTTGTTATGTGGCTGAGAACATTTTATATTGTACAGGAAATTCATAACTTTTGGGCAATGATTTTATCATTCCTTGAAGACTTCTGCCCTGCTCCTCTTAAAGGGCACATTGCCTGCTCCATCCACTCCTGAGTGTTCTTTTCACCTGGAGTGACCTGATCTGCCTGCTCTAGGCTTTAGAAGGGCAGAGGTAATGTGGGTCATTTCTCCACTTCTACCCCAGGCTCTTGAGTGCATCTCAATGTCAAGGTTTATTAAACAGAACAAGAAACCGTTCTTCCTTTCCCGAAATAAATTAATTCTCCTTTTAGATCTCACAAATAAGTGAGAACATGCAATGTGTGTCTTTCTGTGCCTGGCTTACTTCACTTAACATAGTGACCTCCAGTTCCATCCATGTTGTTGCAAATTAAAAGATCTCATTATTTTTTATAGCTGAATAGTACTCCATTGTGTATAAGTACCACATTTTCTTTATCCATTTATCTGTTGATGGATACTTAGGTTGCTTCAAAATCTCGACTATTGTGAAAAGTGCCACAACAAACATACGAGTGCAGATATCTCTTTGATCTCTTTTCCTTTATTTTGGGTATATCCCCGGGGGATCGATGGATCATATGATGGCTCTGTTTTTAGTTTCTTGAGGAACCTCCAAACCATTCTTCATAGTGGTTATACTAATTTACATTCTCACCAAGAGTGTACAATGGTTTTCTTTTCTCCACATCCTTGCCAGCATTTGTTGTTGCCTTTTGGATGTAAGCCATTTTAACTGGGGTGAGATTATATCTCATTATAGTTTTGATTTGCATTTCTTTTATAATCAATGATGTTGAGCACCCTTTTCTATGCGTGTTTGCAATTCGTATGTCTTCTTTGGAGAAATGTGCATTCAGATCTTTTGCCCATTTTATAATTACATTACTAGATTTCTAGACAGTTGTTTGAGCTCCTTATATACTCTGGTTATTAATCCCTTGTCAGATGGGTAGTTTGCAAATATTTTCTCCCATTCTGTGGATTGTCTATTCATTTCATTGATTGATAAGTTTCCTTTGCTGTGCAGAAGCTTTTTAACTTGATGGGATCCCATTTGTCCATTTTTGCTCTGTTGTCTGTGCTTGTAGGGTATTACTTAAGAAATCTTTGCCCAGACCAATGTCCTGGAGACTTTTCCCAATGTTTTCTTGTAGTACTTTCATAATTTGAGGTATTAGATTTAACTCTTTAATCCATTTTGATTTGATTTTTGTATATGGCAAGAGATAGGGGTGTAGTTTCATTCTTCTGCATGTGAATATCCAGTTTTCCCAGCACATTTATAGAAGAGACTGTCTTTTCCCCAATGTATGTACTTGGCATCTTTGATTGCAAATGAGTTAACTGTAGGTGTGTGGATTTCCTTTTTGGGTCTTTATGCTGTTCCATTGGTCTGTGTGTCTGTTTTTGTGCCAGTATCCTGCTATTTTGTTTATATAGCTCTGTAGTATAATTTGAAGTCAATTAATGTGATTCCTCTAGTTGTGGTTTTTGCTAAAGATAGTTTTGTCTATTCAGGGTCTTTTATGGGTTGCTATAAATTTTAGGATTGTTTTTTCCATTTCTGTAAAAAATGTCATTGGTATATTGATAGGGACTGCATTGAATCTGTATACTGCTTTAGATAGTATGGACATTTTAAGAATATTTATTTTTCCCATTCATGAACATGGAATATCTTTCCATTTTTTTGTTTCCTCTTCAATTTGTTTGATCAGTGTTTTATAGTTTTTATTGTAGAGATCTTTCACTTCTGAGGTTAAGTTAATACCTGGGTATTTAATGTTATTCATGGCTATGATAAATGAGATTACATTTTTTCATATTGTTCACTGTTGGCAGATAGAAATGCTTCTGACTTTTAAATGTTAATTTTGTATCCTGCAACTTTACTGAATTTGTTCATCAGTTCCAAGAGGTTTTGGTAACGTCTTTAGGTTTTTCCAAATATAAGGTGATATCATCCACAAACAAGAATAATTTTACTTTTTCCATTCCAATTTGGATGCCCTTTATTTCATTCTCTTGTCTAATTGCTCCAGCTAAGACTTCCAGTGCTATATTGAATAATAGTAGAGAAAGTGGACATCTTTGTCATAATCTAGACCTTAGAGGAAAGGGTTTTAGTTTTTCCCTATTCAGTATACTAGCTGTGTGTCTGTCATATATAGCTTTTATTATGTTGAGTTATGCTCCTTCTATCTTCAGTTTTTTAATGGTTTTTATCATGAAGGGATGTTGCATTTTATCAAGTGCTTTTTTTTAACATCAATTTAAATGATCATATGGCTTTTATCCTTCATCTGTTAATATGATTCATCACATTGATAAATTTGCCTATGTTGAACCATCCTTGCATCTCAGGGATAAATCCCACTTGGTCATGATGAGTGATCTTTCTAGTGTATTGCATGCCAATTGTATTCTCCAGCTCTAGAATTTCTGCTTGATTCTTTTTAATGTTTTCAATCTCTTTGTTAAATTTATCTGATAGACTTCTGAATGCCCTCTCTGTGTTAGCTTGGATTTCCCTGAGTTTCCTCAAAACAGCTACTTTGAATTCCCTGTCTGAAAGGTCACATATCTCTGTTTCTCCAGGATTGTTCCCTGTTGGCTATTTAGTTTATTTGGTAAGGTCATGTTTTTTTGAATGGTGTTGATGATAGTAGATGTTTAGTGTCTGGGCATTGAAGAGTTACGTATTTATTGTAGTCTTCACTATCTGGGCTTTTTGTACACATCCTACTTGGGAAGGCATTCAAGATATTCAAAAGTACATGTGTGTTGTGATCTAAGCTGTGTCTACCTTAGGGGGCACACTAAGCCCAGTAATTCTGTAGTTCTTGAGACTCATTGAGGTACCGCCTTGATATTCTTGAACAAGATCTGGATGAATTCTACAGATTACCAGACAAAGATTCTTGTTCTCTTCCCTTACTTTCTCCCAAACAAATGAAATCTTTGTCTGTGTTCTGAGCCACTTGGAGATAAGAGTGGAGTTATACAAGCACCACCGTGGCAACCACCACTAAAAGTGCCCTGGTTCAGGCCTGCAGCTAGCACAACACTGAATCTCAGCCACGGCCTGCTGTAACCACTTCCTGACTACCACTCATGTTTGCTCAGGGCACTGCAGCTCTAAAATCAGCAGGTGACAAAGCCAGCCAGGCCTGTATCTTTCTCTTCGGGGTATCAAGGTCCCGTAGGCCCCAGGAAGGTCCAGAGGTGACATCTGGGAGCCAGGGACAAAAGTAAAAAACCTTAGAAATCTACCCGATATTCTGTTGTATTGCAGCTGAGCTGGCACTCAAACCACAAGATACTGTCTTTCCCACTCTCCCCTTCCCTTTCAAAAGCAGAGGAGCCTCACCCTATGGCCACGGCCAGCACATGCCCATGGGAAGTGTTGCCAGTCTACTGCTGATGTTCCCTCAAGGCCCAAGCGCTCTTCAGTCAGCTTGTGGGGAAGGCTCCTTGGCTTGGGACTCATCCTTCAGGACAGTGGGCTCCCCTCTGGCCCAGGGAAGGACCAGAAATGCTGCCCAAGAGCCAAGTCCGAGAATTGAGGAAACCAAGAGCCCACTTGGTGCTCTACCCTCCTAAGGCCTTGCTAATACCTAAAGTCCAAGACGAAGTCCCGTTTACTCTTTCCTCCACTTTTTTTTTTTAAAGCAGAAGGAGTTTCACCCCATAGCCACCACATGTGGGAATGTGCTGAGTCTCATCTGTGAGCCAGTAATCTCAGAGGCTCACCTAAGGTCCTCAACGTGGTACCTGGGTATCACTGCTGGTTATTCAGGGCTCAAGGGCCCTTCAGTTAGCAGGTGATGAATGCTTCCAGGATTGGGTTCTTCCCTTCATAATAACAGGTTCCCTTTTGGCCCAAGGAGTGTCTAGAAATGTCCACAATCTGGGGCCTGGAGCTAGGGGGTGGAGCAATGATTAGATCAATGATGAAATTCTCAAAGCTTTGGCACAGTGGTACTGATTAGTTGTAGCGATTTCTGATGACTCTGATTGGTGCCCTCTCCTGCTGTGGCTGAGCTGATTCCAAGATGCAAGAAAAAGTCCTCACTCTTTCTTATCTTCTCAAGTGGAGGGAAGGGGTTTTTTAGGAGCCACAAACTGTGCAGCCTGGGGCTAGGGGAGGGGTTCCAGCACCCCCTTACTTGCTCTGGCTGGTGTCTCAGTAGGTTGTGTCCCCCCATAGTCCACAGGCTCTGGGCCAGGTCAGCACTTGGACTCATTTAGGAGTTGTGGTCATTGTGGCCTGGTTTCTTTTTCTCATGTTTCTTTTAAGGCCCCAGAGCACTTTAGTCCATGGTGGAAAGGCTTGCAGGAACTCAAGTTCAGACGGCTGGGATTGGTAATTGCCCTCGGGCTAGTCTAAATGCTCCCTCCATGGATGGGCATCAGCTGAGTTTGGTCCAGCTTTGTTTTCTGCTCCAGCAGAGCAGCGCTGAGTTCAATGACTCACGATTGCTGTGCTCTCCCTCTCCCCAGAGCACAGAATTGCTCTCTGCACCATGCTGATGCTGCTGGGGAATGAGGCAAGGGTGCATTTGCAATTCACAATTGTTTTTCTATCTCTTCAGTGCTTCTTTCAGCAATATAAAGTTAAGGCCAGGTACAGTGAGTGCTCACCTGATTTTTGTTTGTATAAAGGTGCTTTTTGTGTGTAGGCAGTTATTAAATTGGTGTCCTTGCAGTGGGAACAATTGGGGGAGCCTTCTATTCTGCCGTCTTGTTCCTCCTCCTTCCAAATTTTGATTCCTTTAAAATAACATAACTGAGCTTATTATGCCTGTCATGATTCTCTTTTGTACATATAAAGTGTTTCCAGTTATGGCTACCTAATATTGTCATTGTCTATGTTTGCATTTTTTACTTTACAACTCATATCCTCTCTTTCTCTATATACACACACACATAAATATATATTTATGTACATATAAATATTTGTTACATTTATATATATGTGTGTATGTGCTAAAACTAAGATGTAGGCATTTTCACATGAGTAGTATCCCTTAAAAAAAACTAATAGAAGTTGCCATGTATATGAATAAGGAAATCTGAGGTGGATGGTGGAAGGCGCAGAGAGAGGCAATCTGAAATGGAAAAGAGTCAAGAATCCATTAAACCTTTAAGTCACATTGTTTCCTTTTCTTGGAACTAACATTGACACAAACTATTTTACATGCTGTTTCGTTTTCTTTAGGTTTTACGATTAAACACATTTAAAGCCCAGTTGATATCTCTACAGTTAAAAATTGAATGTGTATGTTATGATGTGTCACAAGATAAGTAGCAAAATATAACTAACAAAACTTAGCAGGCAAAAAAATAGAATGTTGGAAAACAGCACATATGCACGTGTTAATTTCATCTTTTAAACCAGGCATAGATTTATCATTTAAAGTTGATACATCGGTAATACAATATAATTTACATTCATATATATTACTATGAGAAGACTAAACAAAAATGATTCATAACCGTACACCTTATGCATCAAGAGAATGCAACCAGGCCGGTCACAGTGGCTCACGCCTATAATGCCAGCAGTTTCGGGGGCCGAGGCAGGCAGGTCGCCTGAGCTCAGGAGAATGAGAGCCACCCATCGAGTATAAAGTGATTTTCATCAACTTCATCTCTTATCATGTGTTCAAAAGGGTTTTGTAGCAATAGTTTCCATAAGTTGGATTTTTACACTAACCTGTTCATCAAGAGCCTGCCTGATATATTTTCTTAAAAGATTGTTTGGTACCTTTACTGAATTGGCAATTAAAAGTTTTTCTTAGTGACATTTAGTAAATGAGTGATGTTTATTGGGAAGCTGCTTAATGCAAGAGAAAAATGAAAAGATTAGATCATGACTATTGTTAAAGTGAGAAATTAAATGACCACATAAAAAACTTCTCTTCTCTTCCTTGGGTATTTTTCCAATATTACTCATTTGCCCTCTAGGGAAACAAACAACAGAGTTTTGTGATGAAACATGCATTAAACAGCTGTTCTCAAGCTGTTAATTAAAAACAAAACAAACAAACAAACTGCAGAGGAGGCAGCCCAGGCATTTGTTGTGGAACACATTCTCTGCTTGCCACTTACATGTTTTGAGTACAGTTTTCAGTACCCATCAGAACCAGTTTAGTTGATATTCCTTCTGGATTATTAGAAGGAGTTTTCTCCATGAGAAATCTCAGGATGTTTATGATGTCACATACTAGATTACTTAAACTCTTCCCTCTTTGGTTCCTGGAGCTGTGTGCACAGTGCTGAAGTATGACATCCATGCCTTCAGTTAAGTGGTCATCTTCAAATACCTCTAACTGGCACTCTCTTTTTTTTTTTGAAGCTTTTGCCTTTTAACCTGGATCTCCTCTCATCTTTTCAAGGAAAGATACTAATATGAAGACAGAAAAAAAGAAGATCAAGAAGGTTCCCTTTTATCTCTTGTTTCTAAGGTCTCACCTCTTGTGAAGTTGTTTGTAAACAATTTTGTCTTTACCTAATATTCCTCTCTCTGGATATATTATACCTGTAAGTGATCCACTATCATCAACTTATATCTCCATACTCACAGTAAGAAAGCCATTTGGCTCTCTTAGATAATGTGTGTGAGTAGGAGAAAAACAAATAGGGAAGTTCACTCATTTAAGATAATTCAGATATTTTGTGCATGTTCAGTTCCCACAAATGTGATATCTTCTAAGTTACAGGGAATTAGGTAAGATGATCAAAATAATTAAATCGAATGGGATTGGAAGGTAGGAATTTTGGTGGAGGTATGAGTAATTGGCATGTTTACTTTAAGAAGATTTGATTGAAGGAAATGAATTAAGCATAATCCAGGAGTACAGAGGTAAATACTTTTAACTGAACTAACAAAGGAAAGACTAGACAAAAACTTAGTTGTCAAAACTAAAAACATAGGTTACTGTTGAACTGTTCCTGAATACTGTCAAACTCTTCATTTAGCACACTTAAAAATACATTTTTCAGGGAAAAGTGGAACTTTTACAATTAAATGGAGTCACCAGTTGGGCATCAATAACCATGGAAACACTTGAGGAAGGCTGTACATTTTCTGTTGTTTCATCTATAAAATACCCACTCATGTATGTATTTAATTTTTTTAATTTTTAAATTTTTTTCAACTTTTATTTTAGATTCAGGTGGTACATGTGCAGGTTTGTTAGCTGGTAATATTTTGTGACGGTGAGGTTTGGGGTGTAAATGATCCCATCATACAGGCACCTAGCATATACCCAATAGTTAGTTTTTGATCCTTGCCCCTCTATCTTCCTTCTAGCAGTCTCTATTTTCTGTTGTTGCCATCTTTATGTCTATGAGTATATAAATGTTGAGCTCTTATTCATAAGTGCCACTCACTTATTTAAAACAAACATCACTTTCTTGAAAAAATGTTTAAAAATGGTCAACTACCCTGATAGCATTTTGATAGATTCAGTCACTCTTTTGTGAACTTATTTTATTGATTGCTTTTTGTGACCCATTTTGGACACACTAAGAGACAGTATCTGAAAGACAGGAACATTCTTGCTATCGTGTGATGGTTGGTTGGTCAGATGTTGTCAGTCTGGCTATGTTGAAAGCACGGGCATAACACTTCCTGTGAGGTTAGAAGGGACCAAGTGGCCTACATATTCCTATTGCCTTCTGGACTGCGTCATTAGCTTGCTTTCTTTTCCAAAGATCAGTTTTATTTGCATTTAAGTGGTCTTCAAAGTTAGCCACTTGTCACAATGCAATATCATAGAAGATATCAAAGCAAATCTTCTGTCATTTGTGCTCTCAAATTATTAGTATGAGTTTGAAATGGGAAAAGATAAAGTGTTCTAGGAGTAATCAATTGATGTATAGACCACCTAATACATACAAGGCTGTGCTAATGGCTGTTGATATAAGGACTATTTAGAGGATGACTCTACCCTCAAAGAGCTCATATTATATTTGAGGAGGCAGAAGCATGCAGCAAATAAAAACAACAAAGAGAGTTGTAGAAACAAGTTGAAGAGGTGTCATGAGGGCAAGGGCAGCATGGGGCTCGCCCCTGTCAGAGCGCGTCACAGAAAGACTCAAGATGTCTTCATTAAACTCTGGTAACCATCCGAGTGTGGTCCATCTTATTTGGAAAGGCATGAAATACAAAGTTCATAGTATGTGATGAGTAAAATAAATAATCAGATTCACGGATGCTCTGGTAAAGTGTATTCCTGATTCTTCAATCTCCATTCAGTTCAGCAAAATCTCCTGATTGCTCTACCTTGAGCTTCATTTCTGCCTTTGGGCGCATTTTTTTCCTATCCCAACCCAAAACTTTCCAGGCTGACTACACGTGATTATAATTTATCTATGCACATATATGTTTGTAAACAGGCAGTGCTATGTTTCCTACTTAAAAATATATTATGTATATCTTTACATGAAAAGACAACTAAGCTACACCATTATCAATGAGTATAATGTAAATTGAGCAATGTTTGATTTAGTCAACCCATTAATGTTGATCATTAAGATTGTTTCTAGTTTATTTTCACAATCAATGGCAATAATTTATTTAATGTCTTCATATATTATTCCCACTTCATACTATTTATTTCCTCAGAATAAACTGATGAAAATGGCTAAAAGATGGATTTTTTAAGTTTGCTAAATGCCAGACGCTTACAGAAAAAAATGGTTTCAATTTGTACTTACACTAGCAGTGTGTGATGTTCCCCGCTTCTTCACAATAAAAATCCTAATTTATTGTCATTACTTTAGCATTTTTTCAGAATACAAACAACATACCTTTTCATTAAAGAGACTCAAACATCATAAAAAAGTTTTCATAAAGAAATGTATTTATTTCTTGTACTTAAGTTTTTGAGCCACTTGATCTGGAGTGTGCGTTTTAAAGTCTTACTCTTTACCTCTAAGTTGCAATTTTGTTTTCTTCATATATATAAACTCTACCTTTCCCAGTTATCCGAATTCTCATCTTACTTGTGTGAAACATTTGCGCATATGTGGGTTTTTTTGTATTTTGGCGGGAGACAGCAGTGTTTATTTCCAGATACTCTTCCGTTTAGTTGTTGAGCCTTGTTTTTTCTATTCAGTTACTCATCCTTTACATTTCACACTGGTCCTACAGAGGTCAAAGTCAATTTTTAGCATTGTTTTTCCCCAGACAATTCATATGTGTTTGTCCTTTCAGATCAAATTTATAATCATTTTGACAAATTCCTCTAGAATAATTTTCTATTGCTTTTTAAATTAATACTGAATTATTTAGTTTTATAAATGTTCTCCAAAAGTTTAGCATATTACCAGTTATTTTACCATTTTTATTGTTATTATATAGAAATTTTTTTTGTGTCTGGGTGCGGTAGCTCATGTCTGTAATCCCAATACTTTGGGAGACCAAGACAGGAAGATTTCTTCAGGCCAGAAGTTCAAGACCAGCCTGGACAACATGGCAAGACCCTGTTTCTACAAAAAATACAAAAACATAAGCTGGATATGGTGGTCTGTGCCTATAGTCCCAGCTACGCAGGAGGCTGAGGTAGGACAATTGCTTGAGCCCAAAAGGTTGAGGCTACAATGAGCAGTGATCGTGCCACTGTGCTCCAGCCCGAGGAACAGAGCAAGTTCCTGTCTCAAAAAGGAAAAGAAAAAGAAAAAGAAATATTTTTGTTGATATGTTGTTGATATTATGAGTAACTACTTGTTCATATATGCTGGGGCATTTGACATTGTTATTAAAACCATAGGGGATTCCTGCAAGAAGTATAAGTGACCTGAGACCTGGGTCTACAGTAACCAGATGAAGAGAGAATTGTGCTCCAGGCAGAGAGAGCTCCTGAGTCAGGCTATTTTCTGGGAGAGAGGTGCCAGGAATTGACAGAGTGCTGCAGAGTAGAGAGCTGAGTATCCAGGTCACTTAGGGACATACAAACCACAATCAAAACTTGATCTTTAGCTCACAAACAACCAAGAATCTTTGAAGGGGGATAGAATGGGAAAAGAGGGAGTTTATATGAACAGGTTTGAAGATGTGTTGTTATTAATATACTTCTGAGTTCAATAATTAATATTCATTTGGGAAATATTTATATATGTGAACTTGGTTTATAATTATGAGAGTTTTCTGTCTTTTGAAGGCTATATATATTTATAAAATAAATGATTAATTAATTCCATTTTTTTGTGTACAAAGATTTTTAAATTTTCTGTCCTTAGAAGATTTTTATGGGATGTTTTCTGAACTAGGAATTTTGGGAAAGCAGAATTCCATTAAAACTTTTAAATTGTTCCAAATTTAGAGATCTTCTTTGGTATTTTCTTTTTTTTGATTTATTTTTATCATACTTTAAGTTCTAGGGTACATGTGCACAACGTGCAGGTTTATTACATATTTATACATGTGCCATGTTGGTGTGCTGCACCCGTTAACTCGTCATTTACATTGGGTATATCTCCTAATGCTGTCCCTCCCCCCACCTATATGTGTGTGTATGCATTATATCTACTTATAATTATATATGAATATTAAGAATTTTAACTGTATGTGTGTATGTATTATATCTACTTATAATTATATATGCATATTAAGAATTTTGACTATATTTGTGTGTATGCATTATATCTACTTATAACTATATATGCATATTATGTGTATGCATGCACTCATACAAAACTATACTTTAAAATCGTCTTCTTCATTAAAATTTCAAACTATATTAATATAATGTTAAAATAACTTCTCATACTATAAATATTTTATCACTCTTCTCATATCTGTAGTTGGATCATTTTTCTTACTTTTAATGATGTTTTGTGTCATCCTTTCTGCCCTCAAATATCATTAGCATGGCCAGAAATAGGTCTATTTTGTTTCAGTTTTAAAGAATCAACTTTAAATATTCAGTCTGCTTATTTTAAAATCCATTAATATCTATTTAAGTCTTTTATATGGTCTTTCTCTTATTTAAATGTATTTTGCAGATATTTTTCTAATGTATTGGGTTGAATCTTTATTAACATCACATATTTTTTCTATAAGAATTACATTATTAGAGGTTATAAAATTTTGTCTGGATACATCTTTAGCTATATCCTATAGGCTTCCATACATAATATATTTAATTTAATGAAAGTTTGAACTTCCTTTGGTCTAAGTAGTGTTTTAGGCATACGTTAAAGTATTTCAAATTCTCTGATTTAGATGTGAACCTATTATTATGATTTTAGAATTCTAATATATTTTAGTAAAAAAAAAAAAAGAGATTGTCCTATGGAAGCTAACTGAATATATTAAGCACATAATGCATTTCCATTTAAAATCCAAATTACAGAATTGTTCTCTTTGTTCCATTTATAATATCACCTCATATTGTAGTTTATATATACTATGTCATTCCTTTTTGCATTTTTTTAGTTTTCTTTTCCATTTTGTACATTTTGTTTTGTTTTCTTTGAAGAGTAAATCTACACTTTGAAAGCGGATGTTTACTCTGAATGATGTTGTAGCCATGATTAACCTAGTTGTTTCTATCTCATTTCATCATATGCTTCGCGTTAATTTCCTGTGCTGTTATGCCTTTTTTTCTTTCATTATTTTAAACCATTTTAATAGACACCCAAACACACATGTACACACATACAAACATTCTTTTAACTCATTTTAATACCAGTAACTGATTTGGTTAATCTTTTTCAAAATTGTTCTTATTCTTATAGTTGCCTCTGTGTTGGAGTCATAGGCTCCAGAAAAAAAAAAATGTATTTTTTTTTCTGGCTCATTTACTTAGAAAAAATGTTAGATTCTTCATAATTGTATATGTTTTTATTTATAATCAGCCCTTTGCCCTGTATGTTCCAAGAAAGAGGGAATATTGTTAATGGTATCTTCTGCTCCTAGAAAAATGTCTAGTGAATACTGGATCACAATAAATACTTGAATGTATAAATACATAAATGAATGAAAGCTGCTTTCTGGTACTTCTTAATTTTACATTCTATTTAAATAGAATTTGTTTTGCATGTATAGTATTAGCATTCCATTTTCAGACCCTGTTTTCTGTATAGACAGAGATAGGTATGTCTGTGTCTACAGATTAGATGTCATAGATATATATGTATCTATCTATTTCTACATATATATGTCTTTGTTGATAAGAATCTTTTGAGTTCTATGCAATAAGGCAATCATATTTACATTATTTTTAAATATATATATATTTAACCTGAATTCAACGTTTACTGTTAGTAATATTACAGTTTCTTCCCTTTTCTTAATTTTGTTTCATCTACAAAAATATTCAGCTGTATCTTACTGTTTATCCCCCCTAATTTATCTCAGAATGTCTTCCTGTTTGAGCCACACATTACTCTCAACTAAAATGTATCTAATGATATCGATAATAAGTTTTACTGAACAGATAGCACATTCTAGATACTAGTCTAAGAAACTGATGTGTGTGAATGATGTAAACTTTGAAACTTGGGCCCTTTCTATTATTACAGAGCAAATGGGGGAAATGGATACAAAAGTAATTTCAGTATCCGTGGCCACACAATTTGGTGGTGGAGAAAGGGTCAAACCCAAGGAAATTCTGGCTCCAGAGCTCTCTCTTTTTACTGCAACATTGTATATCTTCAGTTTAGACATTTTTTCACTTTTATTTGGAATTTATCAGGAAGACACCTGTGGTCAGTGTGAATTTTAGCCTGTGTAGGTGACTGTGTTTTCCTTTTCTTGTGTTTTGTTTGCATGCAACTATGTTTTTATTAGATGCTGCCAGATGCTTTTACTTCAAATAACTTTCCCAGACACACACAGTGTATTTATTAATGAAATGAAACATCCATATACAGAGTCTTTTTGTTCCTTTCCCAAGTTTTCCTTTTCAATTTTTATTAATAATTCTCTCCTATTTGTGAAATCACTCTTTTTAAAACACTGATTATTTATATTTTGCTTTTGTAATTCCAATACTCCATGTCTACCTTTCTTTCTTTCTTTTTTTTTTTTTTTAGATGGAGACTTGCTTTGTTGCCCAGGCTGGAGTTCAATGGTGCAATCTCAGCTCACTGCAACCCCTGCCTCCCTGGTTCAAGCGATCCTCCCACCTCAGCCTCCAGAGTAGCTGGGACTACAGGCACCCGCCATCATGCCTGGCTAACTTTTGTAGAGACAGGGTTTCACCATGTTGGCCAGGCTGGTCTTGAACTCCTGACCTCAGGTGATCCACCCACTTTGGCCTCCCAAAATGCTGGGATTACAGGGGTGAGCCACCGTGCCCGGCCCATGTCTATCTTTCTTACCATTTAATATCTGCCTTTCTGCATCCTGGAGAGCTACTCAAGTTTTATCCTCCACAACCCTAACAAAATTTTATGTCTTCAGCGCTCTTCTTTGCAGCCTTTCTTGTAACGTCTCATCCTGGAACTGTTTTTAATTGTCATGGGTAAAGCACCGCACTTGCCTGAGTGTGTTCACCCTCTCCTGAAGTGTTTCCTAGTGTTATCATCATGGAGAAAGCACTGCACTAGCCTGAGTGTGCTCATCCTATCCTAATGTGTTTCCTAGTGTTATCATCATGGAGAAAGCACTGCACTAGCCTGAGTGTGCTCATCCTATCCTGGTGTGTTTCCTAGTGTTATCATCATGGAGAAAGCACTGCACTAGCCTGAGTGTGTTCATCCTATCCTGAAGTGTATCCTAGTGTTATCATCATGGAGAAAGCACTGCACTAGCCTGAGTGTGCTCATCCTATCCTGATGTGTTTCCTAATGTTATTGTCATGGGTAAAGCACTGCACTAGCCTGAGTGTGCTCATCCTATCCTGATGTGTTTCCTAGTGTTATCATCATGGAGAAAGCACTGCACTAGCCTGAGTGTGCTCATCCTATCCTGATGTGTTTCCTAGTGTTATCATCATGGAGAAAGCACTGCACTAGCCTGAGTGTGCTCATCCTATCCTGGTGTGTTTCCTAGTGTTATCATCATGGAGAAAGCACTGCACTAGCCTGAGTGTGCTCATCCTCTCCTGAAGTGTTTCCTAATGTTATTGTCATGGGTAAAGCACTGCACTAGCCTGAGTGTGCTCATCCTATCCTGAAGTGTTTCCTAATGTTATTGTCATGGGTAAAGCACTGCACTAGCCTGAGTGTGCTCATCCTATCCTGATGTGTTTCCTAGTGTTATCGTCATGGAGAAAGCACTGCACTAGCCTGAGTGTGCTCATCCTATCCTGAAGTGTTTCCTAGTGTTATCATCATGGAGAAAGCACTGCACTAGCCTGAGTGTGCTCATCCTATCCTGATGTGTTTCCTAGTGTTATCATCATGGAGAAAGCACTGCACTAGCCTGAGTGTGCTCATCCTCTCCTGAAGTGTTTCCTAATGTTATTGTCATGGGTAAAGCACTGCACTAGCCTGAGTGTGCTCATCCTATCCTGAAGTGTTTCCTAATGTTATTGTCATGGGTAAAGCACTGCACTAGCCTGAGTGTGCTCATCCTATCCTGATGTGTTTCCTAGTGTTATCGTCATGGAGAAAGCACTGCACTAGCCTGAGTGTGCTCATCCTATCCTGAAGTGTTTCCTAGTGTTATCATCATGGAGAAAGCACTGCACTAGCCTGAGTGTGCTCATCCTATCCTGATGTGTTTCCTAGTGTTATCATCATGGAGAAAGCACTGCACTAGCCTGAGTGTGCTCATCCTCTCCTGAAGTGTTTCCTAATGTTATTGTCATGGGTAAAGCACTGCACTAGCCTGAGTGTGCTCATCCTATCCTGAAGTGTTTCCTAGTGTTATCATCATGGAGAAAGCACTGCACTAGCCTGAGTGTGTTCATCCTATCCTGAAGTGTTTCCTAGTGTTATCATCATGGGTAAAGCACTGCACTAGCCTGAGTGTGCTCATCCTATCCTGATGTGTTTCCTAGTGTTATTGTCATGGGTAAAGCACTGCACTAGCCTGAGTGTGCTCATCCTATCCTGAAGTGTTTCCTAGTGTTATCATCATGGAGAAAGCACTGCACTAGCCTGAGTGTGCTCATCCTCTCCTGAAGTGTTTCCTAATGTTATTGTCATGGGTAAAGCACTGCACTAGCCTGAGTGTGCTCATCCTATCCTGATGTGTTTCCTAGTGTTATCATCATGGAGAAAGCACTGCACTAGCCTGAGTGTGCTCATCCTATCCTGGTGTGTTTCCTAGTGTTATCATCATGGAGAAAGCACTGCACTAGCCTGAGTGTGCTCATCCTCTCCTGAAGTGTTTCCTAATGTTATTGTCATGGGTAAAGCACTGCACTACCCTGAGTGTGCTCATCCTATCCTGATGTGTTTCCTAGTGTTATCATCATGGAGAAAGCACTGCACTAGCCTGAGTGTGCTCATCCTATCCTGAAGTGTTTCCTAGTGTTATCATCATGGAGAAAGCACTGCACTAGCCTGAGTGTGTTCATCCTCTCCTGAAGTGCTCCCTAATGTTATCGTCTGTTTCTGCTCCCATTGACATTGCGGGAAGCTCCTTCTGATTCATCAGGTCCTCACGAGGAGCTCGTTAGATGAGATGCTACCCATTAGATGGAGGATCTGCATTTTGGGTGGACAGTGGACAGAATAAATCTTCAGCCCGTTTTTCCCCTCACCACCTGATCCACTCAGCCTCTTCTAAACCGGTAAGCAAAACTGTGCAGTTATGTTTGAATTTTTGTTGAAAGAGAAGGAAAAACTTAGAAAGGAAAAGTTTCGATTTCTTGTTAGCTAGCATTTTTCCTTGTGTCTGTGTATTTCTCACTTTCCTAAATGAAGTCTCCTGTTCACTGTGCTGAGAACACTCCTTCAAGAACCTCCTTTGTTGGTCTACTTGCAAAACTCTACCCTTTTTCTCCATAATTTCTTGGCTAGGGGAGGGTAAGAATGGGGAAAGCAGAGAAGCAGACCCTGCTGCAGAGAAAATCTGGCACAGAGACACACAGCCAATCCTTTTTCTGAGTGGTTCACGCCATGAGAGACCTTGTACATGTGCTGGCCAAAACCGAAGAGGCTTTTCTCTACTGAGGAGTCGCTAGGGTTCATCTTTTTCTAGTACTCAAGATTTTTAATTTTCAGTATAGATAAAAAATTGAATCGTTTCTGTGGTTTCGTGAGCATGTACTGAGAAGTTTGAAACAGGCCACCCTGGAGAATATGTAGACACTTGCAAATTATTTTTTAGGCCCTGTTGTTCATGTAATGCTATTACCTAACATCTTGATAGTCACTGTTTAATCTGAGAGTGAACTTAGGAAATGACAGTCTTCTTCCTGGAATCAGTTTTCCCAGAAACTAGTCTTTTACGAGTCCATATCTTTTGCTAAAAGATTCCTCTAATGGCAATTATTTGCATGATCAGGAAGAATGTTCTGAGATTTTATCATTTTAAATAACTCACAAGACAATGCACAAGCCTGCAGCCCTGCCTAGTTAGTGTTCAACAGGTGACACATAATTTTAGAGTGTGTCCCCTAGTGCTCAACAGGTGACACGTGCTTTTTAGAGTGTGTCTCCTATTGTTTGTGCCTGTGGTATACACACAGTAGCTAAGAAATGCAATATTGCCTTCGGCAAGATATTGTGTGTCCTCATTATCAGCATTCTCTCACAAGCGCAACAGCTTATCATAGATTAGCATTTGAATTTACTCAGCTGTGGTCCTTTGCATATGTTACATGACGTTTGATCATGACAACATCCCGTAAGTTTCCTGTGATATCCTAATTATAGATCAGGAAACGGGCTCTAAGTTTTTAAGTAATGTGCATTAGGGCACATTGCAAATGATGAAGCCAGAACCCCAAACAAGCATTCTCAGTGCAAGTATTTCAGAATTGAGCAACCCCCTACTCCAAAACGGTGTTCTGGAAGCTGGCTGCCGGCTCTGTGCACTTACTGCTACATCATCTGCCTCTCTGTCTGGTGTAACACCTGAGTGCACACAGAAGGGTCCAAGAATTCGAAATTCAAGTTGGATTTCAAAGAGTGTTAAACCTGATGAGGAAACTTTTAAAAGATATTCTTATATTCATCGTGTATTCAAGATGTGAATGCACCACCCATAGCTATCTAAGATTGTGTATGGTTTCCTGCCTCTGGCCTACAAGATCTTTTATGCATTTCCTTCAGTCACCATCTCCAAGGCTTACGACTGACCAACCAAATCAGGAAGTTTTGAGTGAAATGAGGAGGACATTAGGACAGAAAGCACAACCTGGTCTATCCCAGTCTAAGCCTTCAAGACCCACAAAAATACAACACTAAGCAAAAACAAAAAATGACTCAAATGTACCAAAGAGATAAAAAGAAAAAAACAGAAAGATCATAATGAACATGTTAAAGTTAAACTGTTACATGTTA
Organism: Homo sapiens; assembly: GCF_000001405.40. Classification (NCBI taxonomy): domain Eukaryota; kingdom Metazoa; phylum Chordata; class Mammalia; order Primates; family Hominidae; genus Homo; species Homo sapiens. The sequence goes on from NT_187518.1 coordinate 34,897, forward strand.
CAAACTGCAACTCAATTCTACTGATAACACTTAGAAAATAATTCTGTTCTCTTTACCCCGGCCTGCATACCTTGAAGAACTGATCACTAATATCTCACTGTCTTCATCACTTGCAATTCTCTTCCTGAACTGACTTTTGTTTCCTGACTATCCCAAACTCCTTTTTGCTTTAGGGATGTCACATTTGCTATTTATTTTGTAGGAACACCCTAGCCCTAAATCTTCACATGAATTTTCTTTTATCTTTCATTGTCTGTGTTGAAGTTTTCCGCAAAGCCCTTATTTGCATTACCTGGAACCATGGTTCCCACTTTTGATTTACTGTGCTTATTTCATAACTAGAATGTAAGTCACATGATTCATATTCTTTTTATTTACTACAGTATCCCCAGAGCTTAGAACACTGCACAGTACTCTCTCCATAAATAAAGATTAAGTGTGCAAATGGATGAGAAATTGACAAATGGTGAGGGAACACATAAGAATGACCAATGATCAGGCAGATAATGTAATCATGTTTATTACAGTTCAACATAGTTTTCAGTTGTGTCTACAATTTATGGTTATTTCTGGATGAGACCAATAGGTTTTAAAATTATCACAGAAATTCCCAATTTGAGCCAATGGCCTATTGAATTATTTTATTGGGTTGTTTGAATTGATTGGATCAATAGTCTTTCAGTTGTATCCACATTTTAAGTAAATGGAGCCAACTCCAAATGAAGGATCCTCTCTAGGGCCCAGATTTTCTTCAATCATAATGAAACTCCCTTAAGCCAAGTATCAATTGCCAAACATTCATTCATCTTCATCCCATGGGGTCCTAATGTTGAAATTATTCTTCATCAAAAAGAAATAGCCAAGAAAAAGGAAGCTACAAATCTACCACACCAAAAAAAGTTTTATATTAGCTACATAAAAGATTTTAATCTAATAATGTTTACACAGACATGTTTAAGTGATTTATCTTTTGTCATTTTCATTGACCCTGCTTCTCTTCTTATGCCTCCATTTCAAACTCAGTACCATGAATGAAAACAATGAAACCTTGACCAGAGGCTTTACCCTCATGGGGCTCTTCACTCACAATAAATGCTCAGGATTCTTTTTCGGTGTCATTTGTGCCGTCTTCTTCATGGCCATGATAGCTAATGGGGTCATGATCTTCCTGATTAACATAGACCCTCATCTCCACACCCCCATGTACTTCCTCCTCAGCCACCTCTCCGTCATTGACACATTATACATCTCCACCATTGTGCCCAAGATGCTGGTAGATTATCTCATGGGCGAGGGGACCATCTCTTTCATCGCCTGCACTGCTCAGTGCTTTCTCTACATGGGCTTTATGGGGGCTGAATTCTTCCTGCTGGGGCTCATGGCCTATGACCGCTACGTGGCCATCTGCAACCCACTGCGCTATCCTGTCCTCATCAGCTGGCGGGTCTGCTGGATGATCCTGGCCAGCTCTTGGTTCGGTGGGGCTTTGGACAGTTTTCTCCTCACCCCCATTACCATGAGTCTCCCGTTCTGTGCCTCTCACCAAATCAATCACTTTTTCTGTGAGGCACCCACCATGCTGAGGCTGGCCTGTGGGGACAAAACCACCTATGAAACAGTGATGTATGTGTGCTGCGTTGCAATGCTGCTGATCCCCTTCTCGGTGGTGACTGCATCCTACACCAGGATTCTCATCACAGTGCATCAGATGACATCGGCTGAAGGGAGGAAGAAGGCCTTTGCCACCTGCTCTTCACACATGATGGTGGTGACATTGTTCTATGGGGCTGCCTTGTATACGTATACGCTTCCCCAATCTTACCACACCCCAATCAAAGATAAGGTCTTCTCTGCCTTTTATACCATCCTCACACCCTTATTAAACCCTCTCATCTACAGTCTGAGGAACAGGGATGTGATGGGTGCCTTGAAGAGAGTTGTGGCAAGATGTTAGGGGACATGTGGTGTGATGAGGAAAGAATTCTGATGGTCTAAAACCTCCACATCCTGTTCAGGCATATATGGGGTCGTATCATGGATACCACGGATGATGCTGACAGGAACTTTCAATACCAGCTGTGCTAAATGGTGTATCAACAGTACCCCCATCAAAAATGGGAAGTTGCTGTAACAGTCACACACAAATAATGCCAGAGTTCTAGAAACACCACTCATGTTTATTCTTCTTTTGTTTCTACTGATTCCAAGTCTTCTCTCATATCACTTCTCTGATTGCAGTTTGTGTATATGAATGCCCCAAAATGTTGAGTTAATATTACATATTCTGCCCATTTTCAATGGCTCCATAAGAACTGGTGATTTTGACTATATTGTTTAAACAATCCATCAATTGGCTTGTCAAAGATTTAGGGATGCCAAGGTTTGAAAGACATATGAAAGAGACTAAACTGTCATAAAACTGTAAAAGAAAAATCTACATAGACTTACACCAAGATTTAGAAAATCCAAATATCTCTTCTTTGAGTAACCACTGAAAACACTCCTCCTTTATCTACATTTGGAGCTAAAAAAAAATGAATCATGTGTTTTGTAGAAATGCCAAGACTAAATCTTTATGGGGGAGGGAGTCTGTAATGTTAGTTTTTTAATATGGTAACTAACTGTTACATTGGAAGACACAGCAAAAGGTAGTTGAGAAAGAAATGCCCTATTAACTAGCAGTTTCTGTAATCACTTTACAGCTTCTTCTCCAATTCACTAGCATTTTTAAACTTTTGGGATCCCTGTGCAGATGTTAGTGTTGTTGGAGCTATTTCTACCAACTTTTCTCTTTTAAAAAAGTAGTAGACAGCGTCATATTTTTCCTTCTCTATAGCACTGGCTTTTGCATTGGATAGCATTGCAAAGTGGGAAGGAAATACCCAGCTTTTCATGTGAAAATTAGAACTGGAAACCCTTGTAAATGACTTAGTGTCATGAGCGGTGCAAAGTTAGAAATAACCAGGACCACAAATGCTTGTGTCTTTCCACAATGTCAGGATTTTATTGATGCTGTTTCAATCACAAAAGCCACCATGAGCTACATAGAGTTCCCAAGGGGGCAACTCTCCTTAGTACTTTTCATTCACTTGGTAGTCAGCGTTGTGGGCACACAGACTCAAGCCACTCCACAAGTCAGTCAATATTGCAAACCATACATAATAGTATACTTAATCAATATGTAAATGTTATAGGTTTAACATTTCACAACAAACAAACTAACATTTAACACAAGAAGGAAAAGGGATAGGAGAAAGGATCACAAACCAGTCCAAGGGGAGAGAAGAAGAGAAAAGCGGTCCTGGTCCAGGCCGGGTGGTCCACTGGTCTTGCAAGAAAGAGTCTCTGAGGTGGCAGAGACTTCAGCAGCAGATGCCAAGTTTTCATCACCAGTGACTGCAAGATGGCATCAGTTAACATGGCTATTTCGAGCTGCTGAAGGCCTGCTCTTTTACGGTTACAGAGTCCTCCCATGAGAACTGATCATGGAAGAGTGTGCTTGTTTGAGTCCTTATCTGGTTGGATACAGTCTTTTATTTTTTAATTTGTTTAGTAGACAACACATCTTATCCTTGTTGGAAAAGTGCTCTATGAAATATAAAATAAAGTCTTTTTCTAAGATGGAGTTGGCTACGTCAAGGGTGTTCTATACACTTAGTATGATTTCTTTTTAAGTGGCTAAGAACTGGAGAAAAAATGTTTGGCCTAAACTGTAGACACAGTAGTAAAAACCAGGACCACATCCCAAACCCCTCAGGCCACCTCTACAAGCTGCTGTGCCAGGCTTTGTACTGTCATTGGTTTAACAAAATCCAAGCCGGGTTCAGTGACGTTCTGCAGCGACTGAAGATGGTGGGTGAATGAAAGATAGCCACACCTCCTTTTGTACTGAAAAAAGCTGCTGGGTATTTGACAAAATATTTAGCCAAATAGAACAGCTCAACTTGGCATTGGGCTGAGCACTTAATCAAGAAAATAGACCAGGTCTTGCCTAACAGAGCAGGGTTTTCAGTTGAAATCCAGGAACAGCTTTTCCGAGGCTCTTCAGCTGGAGGCTCAACATCTCCTCAATCTTGTCAGACTGTCTTGGACAACAGTATGTGCCAGATAATATGAGGGAGCATTTCCAACCAAGAAGATGTTGAGGTACAAAAAACACAACAAATCAGAAGAGAAGGAGAGGGCTGGCCCATAAGAACTGATCATCAGTTTCAGCTCCACGTAAACACCATGTGAATTTCTGTCAATCATACAATGCTTCTGAGGACCAACTTTCTTTTTTATAAAATTTGACTTAATACATACTTTTTTTCTTGTAAGATTTTAAAATCAAGTAAAATGATGAATGTAATAAAACCTTATAAATGCTAGTCATTATTTCAGCTATTCTTTGAAAAGATGATTGACTTTTATATTCAGTTTTTACAATTTCTTTCATTTCTATCGATCCGTTACAGACAAAAGCACACTCTCTTGTACAGCCACTTTGGAATACAGTTTGACAGTTTCTTACAATATTGAACATAATCTTATCATATGATCTGGCAATTGTGTTTCTTGGTGTTAACTCTGCTGATTTGGAAACTTATGTTCACAGTAGATTTTTCATACATTCCAAAACATAGACTTAATCAGAAAGTCCTTCAGAAATTAAATGGATAAAGTGTGGCACATGCATACAGTGGAATATTATTTAGTGTTAAAAATAAATGATTTATCAAGCCATTGGAAGACATGGAGGAAATTTAAATGTATATTGTGAAGTGAAAGAAGCCAATCTGAAAAGGCTGCATACTGTGTGATTCCAGCTGCATGACATCCTGGAAAAAACAAAACTGTGGATACAGGAAAAAGATAAGTGTTGCAAGGGGTCTGGGGGAAGTATGGATGGATGGACAGAGCACAGAGGACTTTTAGAGCAGTGAAACTATTGTATATGACACAGTAATTAATGTTACATAAGATTATGCTACATGGTACTATGTATTTGTGGAAAAAAACATACAACTCTGGAACAGAAAGACTCATCCTTATGTAAAATATGAACTATTAATAATAATGTATCAAAATTGATTCATCTATTGTAACAAATGTACTACACTAATGCCAGATGTTAACAATAGGGAAAAGAGAGGGGATATATAAAAACTTTCTGAACTATCCATTCAATTTTTTGGTAAACCTCATTGTTCTAAAATATAAAATTTCATTTTAAAACAGTTTTCTAACAATTATATAACTCTCTGATACTATATTTCTTGATTGGATTTCAGTCAATAAATCATTAGGAGTTCTCATCAAAGAATTGTGGTGTTTGTAGAAGTTAGGATGGGGGATGGGGATGAAATAATAAAAGTTTGTTAATCTAATTGGTCTTGTTTTGGGAGTTTGGTTATATGTTGTTTTGAAGACGCGGGAGCAGTGAGGCTAATATTTCCTGGAAAGTTAGAAGAACATGGGCCAAATATTAATTAGTTTTATGCTTGGGGCATATGGTAGGAGCCCCTCATTCCAAGTTAGCATTCCTTCCCTGTTCTGCATATATAAGAAAATACTGGAAATGCATCATCTGTATATGGAAGAGGGGGGGAAATGTCTATATTACCTCACACCAGAAAACCAAAACCTATTAAAAGAGGGATGCTGCTTCAGGAGAAGGCCTTTTTAGAGTGAGTGAATTTTTTTTAAAGAATTTGATTATTCATGACCCATCATTGGGAATTTCATCTCGAGTTCAGATATTCAGCCTTTGATGGAATGTGAAGCCACTTGTGGGCCATTTGGCCATCCCTGCAGGAAAATCAGTTCAAAACTCAGCCTGACTCTGCGGGAAACCTCTTAGAAACATGTGCTTCCCCTGGTTGGAACCAGCTAGCAAAATGCATAATTTGTGCTCAAAGAAGAATTAGTAATGGCTAGAAGAGAGATTAATTTTTCTTTTAGCTCTCCTAGTAACTCAGTCTACCATTTGGATGACTCTGTTGCCTTAGCCTGAGTTTCTACTTAAGTGAATAGGGAATACTCTCCTAGATATGGTTGTTGATTCCCTCAGAACAAAATTAACACGGCAACTATCAAGTCATGCACAACCCTTTTGGAAACTTGAGGAAGAACGTGAGCAACATTTCTAAAGGTTTTTGTCACTATTCTGAAATTCATAATGTCATAAATATATGTCATTTTATTACTAGACTTTAGAAATATGTAGGCGTTGTGTAGCACAGAGTGATTTTTGATATGAATTGATGTTCTCAAGAAGTCAATGGTTTTACATTAAAAAATGCAGGACTGTGCATGGGAAGGAGTGTAGGTGGAATGATTGGGGACCATAGAGCAACAGGAGTCTGGCGCCTTCTAGGACCTATCCAGAGATATTCAGCCTGACAAGCATCAGGCATTCACAATGATGCTCAAATGAAATGTGAAGAATTATTAATGCAGGAGAAGAATTCAAGGTAGTTTTGTCAAACTGATGAGTTTTTGGTACATGCTAGTTGCAAAGATCACTGCTAGGTTTTTGGATTGCTGTGCTGAGGATTTTTCTGAGGTCACATGTAGGCCCTGTGGGAAGAGTGATGTAAACTAATTAGCCAGGATGGACACAGGTGGGTGCCTCGGGATGAGTTCTAGGACGTGGGGTGCCACATTGGCTGTAGTCAGCTCTTACCCCCAAGTGCCATCTAATGGTTTATAGCATAGCAGTTGCACAGCAAGAAGAAATAAAAAGCATCTAAATAAGGAAAAGAAGAAGGCAAACTATGTCTGTTTGCTGATAATATGATTCAATACCCCCCAAAAACCAAAAGACTTTGCCAAAAGATTCCTGGAACTGAGAAACAACTTCAAGTAAAGACTCAGGATACAAAATTAATATACAAAATTCAGTGACATTTCTAAACACCAAAAACATTCAAGCTGAGATCCAAATCAAGAACTCAATTCAATTTACAACAGCCACAAAAATAAAAAATCTAGGAATGCAGTTAGCCACAGAGGTGAAAGATCTCTGCTAGGAGAACCACAAAACACTGCTGAAAGAAAGTAAATAAGACTCAAACAAACAGATAAACATTCCATGCTCACTGGTTGGAAGAATTAATCTCATTAAAGTGGCCCAAGGAAATCTACAGATTTAATGTTATTCAGAAAAAACTACAGACTTTATTTTTCACAGAATTAGAGGCAACTATTATAAAATTAAGATGAAACAAAAAAAGAGACCAAAAAGCCAAAGTAACCCTAAGCAAAAAGAATAATGCTAAAGATATCACAATACCTGGCTTCAAACTATACTATAATGTTCCAGTAACCAAAGCAGATGGTACTGGTATAAAAACAGACACATAGACCAAATTGAATCAAATAGAGAACAAATAAATAAAGCCACAGACCTCCACCCTGTTTATCTTTGACAAAGTTGACAAAAGCAAGCAATGGGGAAAGGACTCCCTACCTAATAAATGGTGCTGTAATAGCTGGATAGCCATATGCAGAAGAATGAAAGTGGACCCCTGCCTTTCACTATATACAAAAATTAAATCATGATGAAATAAAGATTTAAATGTAATAACTCAAACTAAGAAGCCTAGAAGGAAGCCTACAAAACCCCATTCTGAACATTGGCCATGGGAAATAATGTATGACTAAATCCTCAAAAGCAATTGCAAGCAAAACAAAAATTGACAAGAGGGACCTAATTAAACTAAAGAGCTTTTGCACAGCAAAAGAAACTATCAACTGGGTAAGCAAACAACCTATAGAAAGGGATAAAATAGATTTTCTAGTTTATTTGCATAGAGATGTTTATAGTATTCTCTGATGGTAGTTTGTACTTCTGTGAGATCAGTGGTGATATTCCCTTTATCATATTTTACTGTGTCTATTTGATTCTTCTCTCTTTTCTTCTTTATTAGTCTGCCTAGCATTCTATCTGTTTTGTTAATCTTTTCAAAAAACCAGCTCCTGGATTCACTGAATTTTTGAAGGGATTTTTTGTGTCTCTATCTCCTTCAATTCTGCTCTGATCTTAGTTATTTCTTGTCTTCTGCTAGCTTTTGAATTTGTTTGCTCCTGCTTCTCTAGTTCTTTTAATTGTGATGTTAGGGTGTCAATTTTATATCTTTCCCACTTTCTCCTGTGGGCATTTAGTGCTATAAATTTACCTCTAAACACTGCTTTAGCTGTGTTCCAGAGATTCTGGTACATTGTGTCTTTGTTCGCATTGGTTTCAAATAACTTACTTATTTCTGCCTTTATTTCATTAATTACCCAGTGGTCATTCAGAAGCAGGTTGTTCAGTTTCCATGTGGTTGTGTGGTTTTGAGTGAGTTTTGTAATCCTGAGTTCTAATCTGATTGCACTGTGGTCTGAGAGACTGTTACGATTTTCATTCTTTTGCATTTGCTGAGGAGTGTTTTACTTCCAATTATGTGGTTGATTTTAGAGTAAGTGTTATGTGGTGCTGAGAAGAATGTATATTCTGTTGATTTGGGGTGGAGAGTTCTGTAAATGTCTATTAGGTCTGCTTGGTCCAGAGCTAAGTGCAAGTCCTGAATATCCTTGTTAATTTTCTATCTCATTGATCTGTCTAATATTGACAGTGGGGTGTTAAAGTCTCCCACTATTATTGTGTGGGAGTTTAAGTCTCTTTGTAGGTCTCTAAGAACTTGCTTTATGAATCAGAGTGCTCCTGTATTGGGTGCATATATATTTAGGATGGTTAGCTCTGCTTATTGCATTGATCCCTTTACCATTATGTAATGTCCTTCTTTGTCTTTTTTGATCTTTGTTGGTTTGAAGTCTGTTTAATCAGAGACTAGGATTGTAAACCCTGAATTTTTTTTTTTTTTTTTTTTTTTTGCTTTCCATTTGCTTGGTAAATCTTCCTCCATCCATTTATTTTGAGCCTATGTATGTCTTTGCACATGAGATGGGTCTCCTGAATACAGCACACTGATGGGTCTTTACTCTATCCAATTTGCCAGTCTGGGCCTTTTAATTGGGGCATTTAGCCCATTTACATTTAAGGTTAATATTGTTATGTGTGAATTTGATCCTGTCATTATGATGTAAGCTGGTTATTTTGCCCATTAGTTAATGCAGTTTCTTCATAGTGTCAATGGCCTTTACATTTTTGTTTGTTTGGGCAGTGGCTGGTACAGGTTTTTCTTTTTCATATTTAGTGCTTCCTTCAGGAGCTCTTGTAAGGCCGGCGTGGTAGTGACAAAATCTCTCAGCATTTGCTTGTCTGTAAAGGATTTTATTTCTCCTTCACATATGAAGCTTAGTTTGGCTGGATATGAAATTCTGGGTTGAAAATTTTTTGATTTAAGAATGTTGAATATTGACCCACACTCTCTTCTGGTTTGTAGGGTTTCTGCAGAGAGATCCACTCCTAGTCTGATGGGCTTCCTTTTGTGGGTAACCCGATCTTTCTCTCTGGCTGCCCTTAACATTTTTTCCTTCATTTCAACCTTGGAGACTCTGACAATTACATGTCTTGGGGTTGCTCAATCATCTAATCTTTGACAAATCTGACAGAAACAAGCAATAGAGAAAGGATTCCCTATTTAATAAATGGTGTTAGGAAAACTAGCTAGCCATATGCAGAAAATTGAAACTGGATCCCTTCCTTACACCTTATACAAAAATTAACTCAAGATGAATTACAGATTTAAATGTAAGACCTAAAACCATAAAAACCTTAGAAGAAAACCTAGGCAATACCATTTAGGACATAGGCGTGAGCAAACACTTCATGACTAAAACACCAAAACCAATTGCAACAAAAGCAAAAATTGACAAATGGGATCTAATTAAATTAAAGAGCTTCTGCACAGCAAAAGAAACTATCCTGAGAGTGAACAGGCAACCAATAGAATGGGAGAAAATGTTTGCAATCTATCCATCTGACAAAGGGCTAATATCCAGAATCTACAAGGAACTTAAACAAATGTACAAGAGAAAAACAAACAACCCCATCAGAAAGTGGGCAAAGGATATGAACGGACACTTTTCAAAAGAAGACATTTATATGGCCAACAAACATATAATAAAATGCTCATCATCACTGGTCATTAGAGAAATGCAAATCAAAACCACTGTGAGATACCATCTCACACCAGTTAGAATGGTAATCATCAAAAAGTCAGGACACAACAGATGCTGGAGAGGATATGGAGAAATAGGAACACTTTTACACTGTTGGTGGGAATGTAAATTAGTTCAACCATTGTGGAAGACAGTGTGGCAATTCCTCAAGGATCTAGGACTAGAAATACCATTTGACCCAGCAATCTCATTACTGGGTATATACCCAAAGGATTATAAATCATTCTACTATAAGGACACATGCACACGTATGTTTATTGCAGTACTATTCACAATAGCAAAGACTTGGAACCAACACAAATGCCTGTCAATGTCAGACTAGATAAAGAAAATGTGGCAGATATATGCCATGGAATACTATGTAGCCATTTAAAAAAATGAGTCAATGTCCTTTGCAGGGACATGGATGAAGTTGGAAACCATCATTCTCAGCACACTAACACAGGAACAGAAAACCAAATGCCACATGTTCCCACTCATAAGTGGAAGTTGAACAATGAGAACATATGGGCACAGGGAGTGGAACATCACACACTGGGGCCTGTTGAAGTGTGGGGGGCAAGGGGAGAGAGAGCATCAGGAGAAATACTTAATGTAGATGATGGGTTGATGGGTGCAGCAAACCACCATGGCATATGTATACTTATGTAACAAACCTGCACATTCTGCACATGTACCCCAGAACTTAAAGTATAATTTTAAAAATTCGTTTAATCCAAAAAAGAAAGGGATAAAATATTCACAAACTGTGTATGCCAAAATGGTCTAAGATCTGCAGTATATAAGGAACTTAAATAATTCAACAAGCAAAAACAAACACCGCCATTAAAAAGTGGCCAATACCATGAATAAACACTTCTCAAAATAACACATATAATTGGCCACAAACATGAAAAAATGTTCAACATCACTAATCATCATAGAAATGCAAATCAAATCACAATGAGATACCATCTCATACCAGTCAAAATGGTCATTATTAAAAAGCCAAAAACAACAGATGCTGCTGAGGTTGTGGAGAAAAGGTAATGTTTATACACTGTTGGTGGGAATGTAAATCAATTCAGCCAATGTAGAAAACAGTTTGTAGGTTTTTCAAAGAACTTAAAACAGAGCTACCATTTGACCCAGTAATCCCATTACTGGGTATATACCCAAAGAAAAATAGATCATTATGCCAAAAAGACCCATGTACTTATATATTCAACACCATGCTATTCACAATAGCAAGACATGGAATCAACCTAGTTGCCCATCAATGGTAGATTGGATAAAGAAAATGTGGCAAAAAAAAAAAAAAAAAAGAAAATGTGGCACATATACACCACGAAATACTATGAAGCCATTAAAAAAGTATGAAATCCTGTCCTTTGCAGCAATATGGATAGAGCCAGAAGCCATCATCCCACGTGAATTACCACAGGAACAGAAAGCCAAATACTGGATGTTCCTACTCACAGATGGGAGCTAAACATTGAACACCTGGCCACAAAGATGGCAACCATTACATCCTAGAGGTGGGAGGAAGGGAGGGGGTAGGTGTTGAAAAACTGCTGGGTACCATGCTCACTACTTGAGTGATGGGATCATTTATAATCCAAACCTCAGCATCACACAATACACTCAGGCACATGTACGCCATGAATCTCAAATAAAGTGGAATGAATAAATAAATAAATAAAATGATTTTTTCAAAAGAAGTTAAATAAATGAATAGTAAAAATATAAAAGTTGGCCGAGTGCAGTGGTGCATGCCTGTAATTCCCACACTTTGGGAGGCCAAGGCATATGGATCACCTGAGGTCAGGAGCTCGAGGCCAGCCTGTCCAACATGGTGAAACCCCATCACTACTGAAAATACAAGATTAGCCAGGCGTGGTGGTGTATGCCTGTAGTCCCAGCTACTCGGGAGGCTGAGACAGGAAAATCACTTGAACCCTGGAGGTGGAGGCTGCAGTGAGCCAAGATCATGCCACTGCACTCCAGCCTGGGCAAGACAGAGTGAGACTCTTGTCTCAAAAAAAAAAAAAAAAAAAGTTGAAGTTAAAAAAATTAATTAACCTTTCTAGGAAAAACAACAGAAAACATTAAATCTAGTCCTTTTACATCAGAATTTCCAGATCTGTGTGTTTGTGTTTATTTATTTATAGATAGATGAAATGATTGATATATAGATGTGAATTGATAATATAAAAAATGATAATATTTTTGAGGTGCAACTTAACAAAATCAAAACTTTAAAAATATTCACACAAATGAATTAAATAATATTGACTGAGGAAAAGTCGATGAAGAAAACTTCCAAAATCTATACTCAAATTAGACATAAGGATTTAATCAGCACATTATTTTTTAGTCCCCTGAATTAAAACTGTATGTATGTTATAAAAATGGAGCATTAATTAAATAATATTGAGCATATCCATAAAGTATAGTACTTTGTGGATAGTGCATGCTACGTTTGGGAGAATATTTCACATCGGGGCACTTTTTATGTTGTATTTTGTGAACAATGCAAATTGTGGAATTACATGTTAACCCACAGACACTCATCACACACACATATATGTTGTTGTGTAAATGCCATATCTATTTATAGTGTTTAAGTTTCTGCATGTGTCTCTCTGTTGGTTCTCTACCTCTTGTTTAGTTACATAAAGCTCTTGTAGTTTACTGGTACATACACACACATACCCACGAACATACACACAAACAAACACATACAGTATAAATGCAATTTTGTAAGGATAATCATCTCTATGATGTGTTTTCGATAACCCTATCTGGTATTATGTTTTTCCCGATGGGTATGCGTTACCTTTATGCTCAAATAAAATAATAATTATTAAACTACCAACAAACATAACAGATGTTATGTTATTAAAATATAATAGAAATAAAGCTACTTTTTATCTTTTTAATGGCTTTCCACATTTGTTCCCACATTTCTCTGTGAGGAAGAGCTGCTGGCAGAACTTTCTGATGAAACACTCAGGAAATCAGTTTTACACTTTGAAGCACAGGAGTTGAAACATGTTCTCAAAGCCCATGTCACTTAAATGTTCACTGTTTTCCACCCCATCAATACACTTCTCATTAGCTGTAATAAGTCCGTCTCATTAAAGTCTCCTGAGATCCAAAAGGAAGAAACTTGCTCTTTCCCAGAGCACTTCATTCCATGTCCCTCAAAGAAAACTATTTAAACTCATGCCTCTTTTCAATCTGGGCGCTCCCTTGTCGCTCCAGGGATCTCAAAAGCAGAACACCCAGAATAATTCGGCACTCTTTACTGGTCTGCTGCTTTCTTCCTGCATTTTTAGTTTTTCAGACCTGTTTAGTTGCTAAATATTTCCCTGTAAAGATAAGAAATAGACATTATTACATGTTTCTAGAAGGCTGGAGAATTTATGCAATTTGTCCTGGCAATGCAAATTGTTTCAAGGATTTCTAAGGTGGCATTTATTTGTTTGGCTTAATAATACTTCCTTCTGCAGAGTTATATTACAAAAATAGCTCCTAATAAACTTGTTGCATGTCTCTCTTTGTCCTAACTCCATCATCAGTTGCTAAGGATACCTTCAGTCATGCCAAGTTCATAAATCCAAATTAGAAATCTATGCATACTGGATCTTCAGGGTAACATGCTGACAGCACTTTGGCATCCAGATGGCCTAGATGTTGAAGGATTTCCTGTTGTGGGTACCAATGACTATGAATTGCTTTGTGTGTTTTCTTCTTGGTATAAGTTAGATGAGAATTTAAGTCTACTAAATCTAATCATTTTTCCTTCTAGCAAAATATCACCTTCAACCTTCTAAAAAGTCTTAGTTCTTCATCGCTTGTTTAGTTACATAAAGTTGTTGTAGTTTGCCAGTAAGTTTTTGATTTACTAAATTATACATAACCTTCTCTATCTACTACTCTGAATGGCTATCCTGACAGATTCAGCTCTCTGTAAGTGACAGATAATCATCTTTTGTTGGAATACAGTTTGGAATAAAATTAGATATTTGGATAATTTTTATGAAAATTATGTATATTGTATTCCTTGATGTCTACTTAGTGATGTGTGTCACATGCTGTTTTGAGTGGGTGGCATTCAGATTGCATGGATGAGAGGAGATATGAGAAATGTGAGAACATATAGAACACATGAATACATTACTTTATGAAGCTCTTTGAAAATTAAATAATTGGATTTAATAGTTAAGGTTTTGTCTAAATGATGCAACATCCCTCAGTAAAATTAGGCAATTAAAATGGATCATCTAGGAGCTTCTGCTGTACTTAGACTCACTTTGTTTGTTCCACTCTTCCTATTCCCTTAATGAAAATCCAGGTCTTTTGGAATTATGCAGGAATTTCACAGGTAAGAAGTCAAATGCTGATGAGCACCTAGACTGACTCCTCCTCATAGTAGCACTTTAAATATTTGGTGCATATGCAAATGACCGGGTTGCCAGAACATTTCATTGTGGTCTGACTGAATTTACGTTCTTTATATGACATAAACAAGATTTACGTAAACTGGATCTAAGAAAGTTGAGGCAGAGTTGTCTGCAACTCCTGGGCTGGAAATCTCAGGCACAAGTATAATGAGGAATGACTGTCCCATTCCCTCCATGCCAAATGCAAGTGCATTGAGAAAAAGAGTGCCTGTCTGATTATCTGTGGGAATTACATGGAGTGAGTGTTGTAAATCTCAGGTAGAAGGATGCCATTGAGTGTAACAGTGCAAAGAATCTTTTCTTAAATGTTTGCTGCTTTTCTTAAAAAAATAATTTAAGCAAACTTTAGTCTTATGAATTAGATAGGATAAGGACAATACTGTTCGAAAGGCACAAAAGATCTAAAGGAAAAACCTGTACTTACTCCTAGTTTCTAAAGTACAGACTATGAACCAGGCTTCCTGAATCTCTGAACAGTGCATTGTCTTTATCTCCTTCCCCTCGTTTTACAGATAAGAACACTGATGATTGGAGAGTTGAAGATGCTTGCATTAAAGACACAGAGCTGACGTAAGGCAGACTCCTACAGGCATTCTAATTTCCAACATAGACTCGTTGCCTGACTGTCAAACGTGCAAGCATTTTAAAAATCCTTTTTTCCACAATGATTTCAAAGAATGTGCAGACACCTGGATTTCTCAGATCCACTTTGCCAGTGATTCACAGGCATTTTTTTAGTGTCCATCACACCAAGCATAAAATAAACTCTCATCAGAAATAACAGGTCTCTCTAGTAGAGGGGTTTATTCTAGTGTGTAGTCTCTTTATGGGTCTTGTAGGAGGTGTGTGTGGGTTGAAGAATGTGGTTCTAAGTTACTCTAAAATTGTCAGAGTACATTAGTGCTTTATTATCTAATAATTGTATGATTATTATTTCAATATGAGTTCATTCTTAATGATTCCAACTTTTTGAAATACTAAACAGAATTTAGGAACACGGAGAAAAACTAGGAACATATATTTTTGTATTTAGTCTCAAAATTGCACAGCACTGTATTGACCTGTCTTGAGAACTTCTCATGTGAAAAGGTAACTGTAAGTTTGAATGTGTATGTAATGACTCAATGTGTCTGCGATAACAACAGAAAAGTAATATTGCCAGTGTATTCTGTACAGGAAAAACCACACCTACAGTAATCTGTTGAAATTGAGGTATTATATTCTAAAATAGACATTGCAAAAGCTATCCCCAGTAAATACCTGGAAGTTGAGCACTTTGGAAAAAAATTCATACATGAATGCATAAAATAACTGGAGAAGTGTGACCGGTATAGAGAAGGAGGACAGAAAACCTTGTAGTCATATTCACATTATGAAATGTTGAATGTTGCAAAGAGAGAAAACTGGTTCCAAGCAGATTCAGAAGGCAAGGAAGAATCCTGCATGAAGCAGCTTTAATTTAAGCTAATGCAGAGCTTCCTAACAAGGCTGCTGCATTGAAGGAGCATGGAGCTTGCTCTTTTCTTTGGCAGAAACTTCACCAGTGGTCATAGGGAAGCAAGCAAAGGCTGCAACTTACAAGTTAGGAATTATCTTGTCACTTGATTTAAAGGATGGGCTTGGAGATCATCACAGTCCTGGGCAAGCATTGTGTCCTACCTTCAAACTGTAGTGATGTGGGAGGAAAATATTTGCGGCCATCCCTACTCAACCAACATGCACGCCTTATAAAATAGTACAGAATATTTACAAATGTCAGGATAACATAAATGCATTGATTTATCTCTTGGTGTACGGTATTATGCAATAAAAAATAGTTTAGGTAGGCCTAAAAGACAATTTTATCCAATAAAATTATGTCTATTTTATCCACTAACTTTTTAAAAATAATTTTCTCAAAATTTGCAGGCCAAGCATACTTCTGCTCTTCAAAGGCATTTAGATGTTCTGCAAGCTTAATTGAAATGCACAGTTTTTTCTGAGAATTTCTACTAAGTAACAATCCTTTCAAGTCAAAGGATACTTGGGGGAAAAGATAGACTTTAACTGCTGATGTAACTTCACTGGGAGCACCTGGGTTTACAGACCTTTTCTGAAGATCAGGAGGTATTTGCAATTTAAATTCATAGATTTTAGTTGAATATGTAGATTGCTTAAATGAGAGATTGAGAATTTGCACCCATTTACCAATAGTTTTGAAATAATTTGCAGATATCTTACATTTTACTTGGTATTGTATAAAATATTTGCACCTGTAACTATAAATTTCTTATTTGATTCTTAAAGTAACCCTGAATGTTTATTATATCAATTAATATAAGCAGATACTGAGGCTCAGGGTGTTTAGGAAGATAATCCAAGGTCACAGAATTAATTAATGTCGTGACCAGAGGAAGAACTCAATTCATTTAATTCTAAATTTTGTTTTACTGTATGTTGCCTTCATCATTTCAGAAACAAATGCCTATATAAAGTCACAGAATCATTCCAAACATTTTCTGATTATTTTTATGTGTACTAAACCATAGCAAAGCTGTATGATCTATGCCCAGGAGATATTCAACAAGTATAGTTACTTATTGTGCTCACTCTAGTGAGAGAGCAGATAATAAATTTAACAAAACATTTTACTTAAAATCATAATTTACTTTGAGGAGGGCTTGTTCTCTGATAAATTAGATCTTTTGTATGCAGATAGGAAAAGTAAGGCCACTTGGCTGCAAAATGGAGTAGACTTTAGAATTTCCCTTTGCATTGCTAGGTTTGCAGGGCTAGCTGGCCATAGAAAAAGCTAGAACCACAGAAGAGTTACATATATACATATATAAATCTATGGGAGGAAATTATGAATGTATATACTTATATATATATATATAATGGATAAAAGATCATCCTTTATATTCTTGAAGTTTGTTGTGGATTTTACTGTAACCTGAAATTGTATAAAACAGTCCCTCAGTTTTTCTTAATTGCCAGAGCTACGGAAAAATTCCAATTTCCAAAAATCATCGGTGAGTTATACCTCAATATGTATGTCCCTGTGCTATTACATATACGTGTGTGTGTGTGTGTATAAAATGGGAGTAACCGTGAACAGACAGCAGAGGCTATTACAAATACGTGTGTGTGTATAAAATGGGAGTAAGCGTGAACAGAGAGCAGAGGGCGCTACTACATATACGTGTGTGTGTATAAAATGGGAGTAAGGGTGAACAGACAGCAGAGGCCGCTATTACATATACGTGTGTGTATAAAATGGGAGTAAGCGTGAACAGACAGCAGAGGCCGCTATTACATATATGTGCGTGTGTATAAAATGGGAGTAAGCGTGAACAGAGAGCAGAGGCCGCTATTACATATATGTGTGTGTGTATAAAATGGGAGTAAGCGTGAACAGAGAGCAGAGGGTGCTATTACATATACGTGTGTGTGTATAAAATGGGAGTAAGCGTGAACAGAGAGCAGAGGCCGCTATTACATATATGTGCGTGTGTATAAAATGGGAGTAAGCGTGAACAGAGAGCAGAGGCCGCTATTACATATATGTGTGTGTGTATAAAATGGGAGTAAGCGTGAACAGAGAGCAGAGGGTGCTATTACATATACGTGTGTGTGTATAAAATGGGAGTAAGCGTGAACAGAGAGCAGAGGCCGCTATTACATATATGTGCGTGTGTATAAAATGGGAGTAAGCGTGAACAGAGAGCAGAGGCCGCTATTACATATATGTGTGTGTGTATAAAATGGGAGTAAGCGTGAACAGAGAGCAGAGGCCGCTATTACATATACGTGTGTGTATAAAATGGGAGTAAGCGTGAACAGACAGCAGAGGCCGCTATTACATATATGTGCGTGTGTATAAAATGGGAGTAAGCGTGAACAGAGAGCAGAGGCCGCTATTACATATATGTGTGTGTGTATAAAATGGGAGTAAGCGTGAACAGAGAGCAGAGGGTGCTATTACATATACGTGTGTGTGTATAAAATGGGAGTAAGCGTGAACAGACAGCAGAGGCCGCTATTACATATATGTGTGTGTATAAAATGGGAGTAAGCGTGAACAGACAGCAGAGGCCGCTATTACATATATGTGCGTGTGTATAAAATGGGAGTAAGCGTGAACAGACAGCAGAGGCCGCTATTACATATACGTGTGTGTGTATAAAATGGGAGTAAGCGTGAACAGAGAGCAGAGGCCGCTATTACATATATGTGCGTGTGTATAAAATGGGAGTAAGCGTGAACAGAGAGCAGAGGCCGCTATTACATATATGTGTGTGTGTATAAAATGGGAGTAAGCGTGAACAGAGAGCAGAGGGTGCTATTACATATACGTGTGTGTGTATAAAATGGGAGTAAGCGTGAACAGAGAGCAGAGGCCGCTATTACATATATGTGCGTGTGTATAAAATGGGAGTAAGCGTGAACAGAGAGCAGAGGCCGCTATTACATATATGTGTGTGTGTATAAAATGGGAGTAAGCGTGAACAGAGAGCAGAGGCCGCTATTACATATACGTGTGTGTATAAAATGGGAGTAAGCGTGAACAGACAGCAGAGGCCGCTATTACATATATGTGCGTGTGTATAAAATGGGAGTAAGCGTGAACAGAGAGCAGAGGCCGCTATTACATATATGTGTGTGTGTATAAAATGGGAGTAAGCGTGAACAGAGAGCAGAGGGTGCTATTACATATACGTGTGTGTGTATAAAATGGGAGTAAGCGTGAACAGACAGCAGAGGCCGCTATTACATATATGTGTGTGTATAAAATGGGAGTAAGCGTGAACAGACAGCAGAGGCCGCTATTACATATATGTGCGTGTGTATAAAATGGGAGTAAGCGTGAACAGAGAGCAGAGGCCGCTATTACATATATGTGTGTGTGTATAAAATGGGAGTAAGCGTGAACAGAGAGCAGAGGGTGCTATTACATATACGTGTGTGTGTATAAAATGGGAGTAAGCGTGAACAGACAGGAGAGGCCGCTATTACATATATGTGCGTGTGTATAAAATGGGAGTAAGCATGAACAGAGAGCAGAGGCCGCTATTACATATATGTGTGTGTGTATAAAATGGGAGTAAGCGTGAACAGAGAGCAGAGGCCGCTATTACCTATACGTGTGTGTATAAAATGGGAGTAAGCGTGAACAGAGAGCAGAGGCCGCTATTACATATATGTGCGTGTGTATAAAAATGGGAGTAAGCGTGAACAGAGAGCAGAGGCCGCTGTTGCATATTTAAATTTGGGTATAAAATGGGAGTAAGCGTGAACAGAGAGCAGAGGCCGCTATTACATATTACGTGTGTGTATAAAAATGGGAGTAAGCGTGAACAGACAGCAGAGGCCGCTATTACATATATGTGCGTGTGTATAAAATGGGAGTAAGCGTGAACAGAGAGCAGAGGCCGCTATTACATATATGTGTGTGTGTATAAAATGGGAGTAAGCGTGAACAGAGAGCAGAGGGTGCTATTACATATACGTGTGTGTGTATAAAATGGGAGTAAGCGTGAACAGACAGCAGAGGCCGCTATTACATATATGTGTGTGTATAAAATGGGAGTAAGCGTGAACAGACAGCAGAGGCCGCTATTACATATATGTGCGTGTGTATAAAATGGGAGTAAGCGTGAACAGACAGCAGAGGCCGCTATTACATATACGTGTGTGTGTATAAAATGGGAGTAAGCGTGAACAGAGAGCAGAGGCCGCTATTACATATATGTGCGTGTGTATAAAATGGGAGTAAGCGTGAACAGAGAGCAGAGGCCGCTATTACATATATGTGTGTGTGTATAAAATGGGAGTAAGCGTGAACAGAGAGCAGAGGGTGCTATTACATATACGTGTGTGTGTATAAAATGGGAGTAAGCGTGAACAGAGAGCAGAGGCCGCTATTACATATATGTGCGTGTGTATAAAATGGGAGTAAGCGTGAACAGAGAGCAGAGGCCGCTATTACATATATGTGTGTGTGTATAAAATGGGAGTAAGCGTGAACAGAGAGCAGAGGCCGCTATTACATATACGTGTGTGTATAAAATGGGAGTAAGCGTGAACAGACAGCAGAGGCCGCTATTACATATATGTGCGTGTGTATAAAATGGGAGTAAGCGTGAACAGAGAGCAGAGGCCGCTATTACATATATGTGTGTGTGTATAAAATGGGAGTAAGCGTGAACAGAGAGCAGAGGGTGCTATTACATATACGTGTGTGTGTATAAAATGGGAGTAAGCGTGAACAGACAGCAGAGGCCGCTATTACATATATGTGTGTGTATAAAATGGGAGTAAGCGTGAACAGACAGCAGAGGCCGCTATTACATATATGTGCGTGTGTATAAAATGGGAGTAAGCGTGAACAGAGAGCAGAGGCCGCTATTACATATACGTGTGGGTGTATAAAATGGGAGTAAGCGTGAACAGAGCAGAGGGCGCTATTACATATATATGTTTGTGTGTGTGTATAAAATGGGAGTAAGCGTGAACAGACAGCAGAGGCCGCTATTACATGTACGTGTGTGTGTGTATAAAATGGGAGTAAGCGTGAACAGACAGCAGAGGGCGCTATTACATATACGTGTGGGTGTATAAAATGGGAGTAAGCGTGAACAGACAGCAGAGGCCGCTATTACATATACGTGTGGGTGTATAAAATGGGAGTAAGCGTGAACAGACAGCAGAGGGCGCTATTACATATACGTGTGTGTGTATAAAATGGGAGTAAGCGTGAACAGACAGCAGAGGCCGCTATTACATATACGTGTGTGTGTATAAAATGGGAGTAAGCGTGAACAGACAGCAGAGGCCGCTATTACATATACGTGTGTGTGTATAAAATGGGAGTAAGCGTGAACAGACAGCAGAGGGCGCTATTACATGTACGTGTGGGTGTATAAAATGGGAGTAAGCGTGAACAGACAGCAGAGGGCGCTATTACATATACGTGTGGGTGTATAAAATGGGAGTAAGCGTGAACAGACAGCAGAGGGCGCTATTACATATACGTGTGTGTATAAAATGGGAGTAAGCGTGAACAGAGAGCAGAGGCTGCTATTACATATAAGTGTGTGTATAAAATGGGAGTAAGCGTGAACAGACAGCAGAGGGCGCTATTACATGTACGTGTGTGTATAAAATGGGAGTAAGCGTGAACAGAGAGCAGAGGCTGCTATTACATATACGTGTGTGTATAAAATGGGAGTAAGCGTGAACAGACAGCAGAGGGCGCTATTACATGTACGTGTGTGTATAAAATGGGAGTAAGCGTGAACAGAGAGCAGAGGCTGCTATTACATATACGTGTGTGTATAAAATGGGAGTAAGCGTGAACAGACAGCAGAGGGCGCTATTACATGTACGTGTGTGTATAAAATGGGAGTAAGCGTGAACAGAGAGCAGAGGCTGCTATTACATATACGTGTGTGTATAAAATGGGAGTAAGCGTGAACAGACAGCAGAGGGCGCTATTACATGTACGTGTGTGTGTATAAAATGGGAGTAAGCGTGAACAGAGAGCAGAGGCTGCTATTACATATACGTGTGTGTATAAAATGGGAGTAAGCGTGAACAGAGAGCAGAGGGCCCTATTACATATACGTGTGTGTGTGTATAAAATGGGAGTAAGCGTGAACAGAGAGCAGAGGGCACTATTACCTATACGTGTGTGTATAAAATGGGAGTAAGCGTGAACAGAGAGCAGAGGCCACTATTACATACCTGTGTGTGTGTATAAAATGGGAGTAAGCGTGAACAGACAGCAGAGGCCGCTATTACATATATATGTTTGTGTGTGTGTGTGTGTGTGTATAAAATGGGAGTAAGGGTGAACAGACAGCAGAGGCTATTACATATATGTGTGTGTATAAAATGGGAGTAAGTGTGAACAGAGCAGAGGCCGCTATTACATATACGTGTGTGTGTATAAAATGGGAGTAAGCGTGAACAGACAGCAGAGGCCGCTATTACATATACGTGTGTGTGTATAAAATGGGAGTAAGCGTGAACAGAGAGCAGAGGGCCCTATTACATATACGTGTGTGTGTATAAAATGGGAGTAAGCGTGAACAGAGAGCAGAGGGCACTATTACCTATACGTGTGTGTATAAAATGGGAGTAAGCGTGAACAGAGAGCAGAGGCCACTATTACATATATATGTTTGTGTGTGTGTGTGTGTATAAAATGGGAGTAAGGGTGAACAGACAGCAGAGGCTATTACATATATGTGTGTGTATAAAATGGGAGTAAGTGTGAACAGAGCAGAGGCCGCTATTACATATACGTGTGTGTGTATAAAATGGGAGTAAGCGTGAACAGACAGCAGAGGGCGCTATTACATATATGTGTGTGTGTATAAAATGGGAGTAAGCGTGAACAGACAGCAGAGGCCGCTATTACATATATATGTTTGTGTGTGTGTGTGTGTATAAAATGGGAGTAAGGGTGAACAGACAGCAGAGGCTATTACATATATGTGTGTGTATAAAATGGGAGTAAGTGTGAACAGAGCAGAGGCCGCTATTACATATACGTGTGTGTGTATAAAATGGGAGTAAGCGTGAACAGACAGCAGAGGCCGCTATTACATATATGTGTGTGTATAAAATGGGAGTAAGCGTGAACAGAGAGCAGAGGCCGCTATTACACATACGTGTGTGTGTATAAAATGGGAGTAAGCGTGAACAGACAGCAGAGGGCGCTATTACATATACGTGTGTGTGTGTATAAAATGGGAGTAAGCGTGAACAGAGAGCAGAGGGCGCTATTACATATATGTGTGTGTGTGTGTGTATAAAATGGGAGTAAGGGTGAACAGACAGCAGAGACCACTGTTTGACTTTGTGAAGCAGCACATGATTTTCCCTCTGTTTCTGGTGTCTTATCGCATGATAAAAGTCAAACCGAAAATGTAGGAAGTGTGGAAGTAGCTGAAATACTGCTAATATTTAGGCTGCGACATAAACTGGAGAGGAGTTTCCCTTTAGAAATATATTTTTATAGGTTCCATTAATGAAACCTAAAAAAAGTAAAATGAGGGAGGTTGTAAGTAATGATGACATTGTACATAGTATCATAAAAATGTATAAAACCTGACACCAAATATTCTGAATTAGCAAAATATACATTATATATATATATAAAATATACATATGATGTATCTATGTGTACATTTTTATATATGTGTGTATATCTGTACACATAGTTTATATCCATAAAACAGCAATCCTGATTATAATAATTTATGTGATCTACTCTCAAGTATGACTAATTTTCATTAGTCACATTAGTTATTACATTGTTAACAATTTAGCAGGTTCACATGCTTGGTACATTTTATTTGCTAATTACAGTAAATGTCTAGCTGCTATTCCCATATAAAGCTTCCTATATACACAATGCCATGTGTATGAATATATAATGAATTGAGACTATCTAGTCCAAACACTCCTGGCACTAACAGACCCCGTGACCACCAACACGTTACCCTCAATGCTGTCATTGGTGAGAGGGGCTTTTATAGCTCCTCACTTCTTAGTTTTATTGTGAAGATCAGGGAGTCAATAGTTACAAAGTACTTCTTAGCATGACACTTTGCAAAATAAACTCCACGATGTCATCATCATTATTCTCAATAGCAACTTCTTTTTCTGGGCAATTGACTCAAATGCTAATATTTTTAGAATATTTAGAGGAGCACTAGACTAGTTTGATCAATTTTACTCCCAAATATGTTGGTAAAATGTCTTTCTTGGGACACTTTTAGCCTTAAACAATGTGAAAAATCATCCTTTACTTCCATGAAGTTTGTTGTGGATATTTGTTTCTTTATTGTAACCTGAAATTGTATAAAACACACTCAGTTTTTCTTAATTATGAAGAACTATGAAAAATTCTAATTTCCAAAAATAATCAGTGAATTATAGCTCAATGTTTACGTCCCTGTGGTATTTCCTCTGAATATTAATTGCTAATACTGATTTCTAATGGTCATGCTAATCATAATCCTAATGCTAATTCCTCATCATCTTAAAATTGAAAATAAATAAAATTCTACAACACTGAATGCCTCTTGTATTGAGAATAATTTTTATGTCTAAATTTGCAAGAGTAGTTTCCGTTGAGTTTCTGTTGCCCTTTTTATTTCATCCCTTATAATTTGTCTGGGACATGGATAAACTAACACCAAGTATACTCTCATGATGTAGACAGTGACTTGTGACCCAAATGGTAGATAACCCGTACTTGTAGCTAAATGGAAGACATGAGCTACTCACAGCCAGCACCAAAGATGTTTTGAAAGTAGTGGTGATGCCAACCATACAAAGACACATTAAATAATAATACAAATTTAAATGCATCTAAGGTAATACACACACGCATACACCGGACCATGGTATGCGTAACTGCTGTGTAGCATGGTATGCAACCTTAGGCATTGTTATGCACATCATCGTAATACAGTATCATCTGCTGACCTCATCTTCTCCAATGTATTTAAGCAATTATTGATTAATAATGACCAATTTTATTTAAAAACCTTCTGGAATAGAGTAAATGCTAGATATCAGTCTCAATGTGGCAAGAATACTATTTTTTAAATGTTTTCTTCCCACTTTTAAAAGTTTGCTGCCTAACAATTAATTCACATGTTGTTATTTTACTGCCCTGGGAATGCTATCATCTTATTTGGAAGATATTACCTTATATCGGCACAACTGTAGGATCAATGGAAGAGTACAACACATCCTCTACAGACTTCACTTTCATGGGGCTGTTCAACAGAAAGGAAACCTCAGGTCTTATTTTTGCCATCATCTCTATCATCTTCTTCACCGCACTGATGGCCAATGGGGTTATGATCTTCCTGATCCAAACAGATTTGCGCCTTCATACACCCATGTACTTCCTCCTCAGCCACCTTTCCTTAATTGACATGATGTATATTTCCACTATTGTGCCTAAGATGCTGGTTAATTACCTGCTGGATCAAAGGACCATTTCCTTTGTGGGGTGCACAGCTCAACACTTCCTCTACCTTACCCTTGTGGGAGCTGAATTCTTCCTGCTGGGCCTCATGGCCTATGACCGCTATGTGGCCATTTGCAACCCTCTGAGATACCCTGTCCTCATGAGCCGCCGGGTCTGTTGGATGATTATAGCAGGTTCCTGGTTTGGGGGCTCTTTGGATGGCTTCCTCCTAACCCCCATCACCATGAGCTTTCCCTTCTGCAATTCCCGGGAGATTAACCACTTCTTCTGTGAGGCACCAGCAGTCCTGAAGTTGGCATGTGCAGACACAGCCCTCTACGAGACAGTGATGTATGTGTGCTGTGTTTTGATGCTGCTGATTCCTTTCTCTGTAGTCCTTGCTTCCTATGCCCGAATCCTGACTACAGTTCAGTGCATGAGCTCAGTGGAGGGCAGGAAGAAGGCATTTGCCACTTGCTCATCCCACATGACTGTGGTGTCCTTGTTCTACGGGGCTGCCATGTACACCTACATGCTGCCACATTCTTACCACAAGCCAGCCCAGGACAAAGTCCTCTCTGTGTTTTACACCATTCTCACACCCATGCTGAACCCCCTCATCTACAGCCTTAGAAACAAGGATGTGACTGGAGCTCTGAAGAGGGCCTTGGGGAGGTTCAAGGGTCCTCAAAGGGTGTCAGGAGGTGTCTTTTGACAGTCGACTCCTTCCCATGCATATGGTAAATGGGGGACTCTGTGGTCACTGTGGCTGTGCTTTCATCAAAAGATGAAGCAAAAAGGGAGGGAGTCATATGATTACAATATTGGTTTTTTGGCTAGGGTTTCTGGTTCATAACTCCATAGTTATGATGTTGTGGTTTTTTAGGCCTCAGAAAACTGAATCTCTCTCTGTGATCTTCGCCTTCCCTCTTTTCACCTGCTTCTTTTTCTCCCCAAAGAAAGCCTTAGAAACTAAAAATATAATCCAATCTTTCCCCGCTTTTGGTCACAAAGAAATTATCTGACTACCTTGTCTGACTGTATGTCATAAGACCTCTGTTTCAAAAGAGGTCTTCTCTCATACCCTGGGGGAGGGAATGCTATACAGAGAGGCCAAGAAAAATCCGATCAGACAGGCCTTCGTGGGTGTCCCCACTCACTCTATCAACATTAGGTCATACTCTTTGTTCAATCATATTTCTGTGCAATTGTCCATGCTTCAATCATGACTATTCAATAAAGTCTCCATATAAGGGCCAAAAGGAGAGGACAGAAAACTTCTGGACAGCTAAACTCATGAAGCTGAACAGGAGGGTGATAAGAACCCATCCATGTGCCTGGAGGGTGGCATGTCCCAACTCCACAGAGGCAGAAGCTCTTATGCTCTTCCAGACCTCACCCTCTGTGTCTTTTCATCTGACTGTTTCTGTGTATCCTTTGTAATATCATTTATAACAAGTGGTAAACATAGGTAAGTGTTTCCTTGAATTCTGTGAGCCTTTATAGTAAACTAACTGAACCCAAGGAAGGGCCGTGGGATCCCCAATTTACAATCACTTGGTCAAAAGTACAGGACAACTTGGGGCTTTTAATTGGCACTGGAAATGGAAGGCAGTGTTATGGGACTGAGCCCTCACCCTGTGGGATCTGACACTATCTCCAGATAGATAGTGGCAGATGGTCATGGGAGTTTAGCTTGGGCTAGAGCATTTGACTGTAGATAGTGGCAGATGGTCACGGGAGTTTAGCTTGGGCTAGCGCATTTGACTGTAGATAGTGGCAGATGGTCACGGGAGTTTAGCTTGGGCTAGAGCATTTGACTGTAGATAGTGGCAGATGGTCACGGGAGTTTAGCTTGGGCTAGCGCATTTGACTGTAGATAGTGGCAGATGGTCACGGGAGTTTAGCTTGGGCTAGCGCATTTGACTGTAGATAGTGGCAGATGGTCACGGGAGTTTAGCTTGGGCTAGAGCATTTGACTGTAGATAGTGGCAGATGGTCACGGGAGTTTAGCTTGGGCTAGCGCATTTGACTGTAGATAGTGGCAGATGGTCACGGGAGTTTAGCTTGGGCTAGCGCATTTGACTGTAGATAGTGGCAGATGGTCACGGGAGTTTAGCTAGGGCTAGAGCATTTGACTGTAGATAGTGGCAGATGGTCACGGGAGTTTAGCTTGGGCTAGAGCATTTGACTGTAGATAGTGGCAGATGGTCACGGGAGTTTAGCTTGGGCTAGCGCATTTGACTGTAGATAGTGGCAGATGGTCACGGGAGTTTAGCTTGGGCTAGCGCATTTGACTGTAGATAGTGGCAGATGGTCACGGGAGTTTAGCTTGGGCTAGAGCATTTGACTGTAGATAGTGGCAGATGGTCACGGGAGTTTAGCTTGGGCTAGAGCATTTGACTGTAGATAGTGGCAGATGGTCACGGGAGTTTAGCTTGGGCTAGAGCATTTGACTGTAGATAGTGGCAGATGGTCACGGGAGTTTAGCTTGGGCTAGAGCATTTGACTGTAGATAGTGGCAGATGGTCACGGGAGTTTAGCTTGGGCTAGAGCATTTGACTGTAGATAGTGGCAGATGGTCACGGGAGTTTAGCTTGGACTAGCGCATTTGACTGTAGATAGTGGCCGATGGTCACGGGAGTTTAGCTTGGGCTAGCGCATTTGACTGTAGATAGTGGCAGATGGTCATAGGAGTTTAGCTTGGGCTAGCGCATTTGACTGTAGATAGTGGCCGAATGGAATTGATTTGGAGGACACCAAGTGGTGTCCACTGCAGAAATGATTGTTTACTTCGTGTGTATCAAAAATCCCCCACTCATTTGGTCCCATACATCTTATATGTTGGTTGTTGTGTGGTGTGGAAGCAGAGGAAAAACAGTTTCATGTGTTTTTTTCCTCAAAGAGCGTTCAACTTGGTGGGAAAAAAAAACTAATGTAAAAAAACGTCCTCTTGATCTCTTTTCCTTCTCTTTTCTTTTTTTCTTATACCTTCCGTTTCTCCTGCCATGTTCACATGTATTCTAAATAAATACAAGAGGGCTCCATAAACACAAAAATGTGTTTCCATCTGCAAGCTGGTAGAAAGAGTCATTGAACATAGTCTTCTTAAACAGGTATTGTACTCACTACAATCAGGTGCTTATTACTTTCAGTAAAAGTACGGTATTTATCTTTTTTTATTTTGCAACACATTAGTGAAAACTATTTGTCAGATAACTTAAAATAAATGGATGAAAGCAAAGGACATTGCCCAGAAAAGACATCATGAGAACACTGCATATCTGAGGGGTAACGGGGTTTCTAAAACACTGGAGAAACATACAGGGGGATGGGTTAGGAAGGCAGTAAAATGCTTTTCAAATATCTCATGAGATCATCAAGATTAAGCATATATCAGCCATGTAATAGTATTAGGGCATAGTTAATATTCATGTTCCATATGGATCCAGGAATTGAGGAAAGAAAGCATGTGCCGATACATGGTTAGTATCCCAATTATATAAAGAGTTCACTCATCATCAAAAGGGTGACTTTCTCAAAATTATAATTCACCATGTGGGGTTATCATTATACAAACATCATCATGGTCATAATCATAATCATATTCATCAATCTCTATCTAAAACTTAAAAATTTATGTGCCTTGCCAGGTTCATCATCCTTTAACAACTTCATAACAAAGGAAGCAGAACTTGTTATGAGTCATAGTTTACATGTAAGAACAGTAAGTTTCAGGGAAGCAAGAAAATTCTGTAGGATAATAATTCTAATTAATAGACTAGATGGCAGAATTTCAAGAAATGTGATTGATAGAACACTATATTCTTCAGATACAGCTTCCTCATTCATTCATTCATGCTTTATAGCTGTGACCAAGACAAACAAAGCAATTGCACTTGAGAAATTTGCATTCCAGTGTGGAAAAGACAATGAACAAAAATAAATACAACAAGTGAGCAAGCAAAAAAACACATATATCCACCATGTTGTGTGTGGTAGCTGTGACTAAAGCTAAACATATCCATATCCTGCACCCCTGCAGGTCCATTCTTGAGTGAATTCTTAATAGATATATTATAGTTTGAATTTGGTTTATTTTGCCCCCACCAAAGCTTATGTTGAAATTTGATCCCCAATATGGTGTTGTTGGGAGGTCAGGCCTAGTGGGAGATGTTTGGGTCATGGAGGCAGACCCTTCATGAATGGCTTGGTGCTATTCTTGTGTTAGTGAGCGAGTCCTCACCCTGGCAAGTCTGAACTACCTCTTGGAGGAATTAATTCATTTCTGGGAGAGTGGGTTGTTATAAAGCCAGTACATCCTTCAGGTTTTGCTCCACCTTTGACCTTCTCCACCATGTTTTGAGCTAGCATTTGTCCCTCACCAGAAGTCAAACAGATGCTGGCCCCATGTTTCTCATACTTCTCAGCCTTCAGAACGATAGTCAAAATCAGCTTCTTTTTTTTTAATAAATTACTCAGTCTCAGGTATTCTTCAATAGCAACATAAAATGGACTAAGACAGAAAATTGGTACCAGGGAGTGGGGTGTTGCTATAAAGATACATGAAAATATAGAAGTGGCTTGGAATTGGGTAATGGGCAGAATTTGGAAGAGTTTGGAGGAGGGGGCTAAAAAAAACTGCATTACCATGAAGGGTGCATTAAGGACAATTATTGTGAGGGCTTAGGAAAAGAGAAGGCTCAGGAGAAAATAAAAAGACAAGAGAAAATTTGCAACTTTTTAGAAATCGTTTTAGTGGTTCTGGCCAAAATGCTGTTAGAAATGTAGACAAGTAAAGGCCATTGTGATGAGTTCTCAGAAGGAAATGAGGAGTATTTATCTGCAAACTGGAGGAAAGGTCAACCTGGTTCTACAGTTGCAAAGAACTTGGGTCCATGATGTCCATGGCCTAGGACTTTATGGGAGACTGAATTTAAGAGTAATGAACTAGAATATCTGGTGGAAGAAATTTCTAAGCATAAAAGCTCTCATGCTGCTATGTAGCTACTTCTAACTGCATAAGGTTAACTGTCAGGAAAAGGGGAAGCAGAGTGTACATTTTTGGAAAATTTGCAGCCCAGCTATGTGGTAAAGAATTCGTGTTTTCAAGAGAGGAAACCAGAGGTACAGCCAAGAGACCCTTTGCTAAAGAGATTAGTGTGGATGAAAAGGAGCCAGGTGCTAATAGTCCAAACAAAGGGAACAAAATCCCAAAGGCATTTCAAAGCTCTTCCATGCTATCCTTCTCTTTGCAGTCCCACGGCCTGAGAAAGCAGAGTTATTTTGAAAGACTATCCTAAGCCTGGTGCCCTGTGTTGCATCAGGACCCTGCTTTGTACATCTAGCAGTGGCTCAAAAAGCCCCATATGTGTCTCTGGCTACTCCAGAGAGCCCAAATGGTAAGCCATAGCTTCCACATGGTAATCTGCAAGTGCCAAAATTAAAAGAGCCATAGAGATATTACATGTGCTACCTAGATTTCACAGGACAGCTTGGAAATCCTGAAAGTCCAGTCAGAAAACTGCCACAGGGGTGGAGCCACTGCCAAGAGCCTCTACTAAGGCAATTCCCACTGGAAATGTGAGCCCAGAGCTGCCACAGAGAGTCCCTACTGGGGCAATGGTTAACAGAACCATGGGGGCAGCATGGGAGTGGGGCCCCAGAATGTTGCAGCCACCAGCAGCATGCAATCTCAGCCTGGAGAAGTGGCAGGCATAGAACTCCAATTTGTGAGAGCAGATATGTGACTATGCCCAGCAATTCCATAAGGGCGGAGGTGCCTGAGGCCTTGGGAGCCCATCCCTTACACCAGTGTGCCCAGGATCATGGAGTCCAGTAAGATTTTTCTGGAACTTTAAGATTTAATGTGTGCCCTGCTGGGTTTCAGACTTACATGGGGTCTGTCATTTCTTTCTTTTGGTCAAATTCTCCTTTTTGGAATGAGAATGTTTACCAAATGTCTGTCCCACCATTGTAATGTGGAGGTAAATAACTTGCTTTGCTTTCACAGGCTCATAGTTGGAAGGAGCTTGCCTTCAGTCTCAAATGAGACTTTGTACTTTAAACTTTTGAGTTGGTGCTGGGACAAGTCAAGACTCTAGGGACTACTGGGATGGAATGATTGTATTTTTGTATGTAAGAAAGCCATTGGTTTTTGGAGTCAGAGGCAGAATGCTATGGTTTGGATATGGTTTGTCTCTACCAACATACATGTCGAAATTTGATTCCCGATGTGGTGGTGTTGAGAGGTGGTGCCTAGTGGAAGATATTTGGGTCATGGGGTCATATCCCTCATGAATGGCTTCATGCCATTCTTGTGATAGTGAGTGGGTTCTCACTCTGGCAAGACTGGATTAGTTCTTATAAAAATAGATTAGTTCCTAGGAGAGTGGGTGGCTATAAAGCCAGATGTTCCTCTGGTTTTTGCCTCTCTCTTCACACATATCTGCTTTACTCTGTGACCTTTACCATGTTTTGACCAAGCACATGGCCCTTACCAGAAACTGAGCAGATACTGGCACCATTTTTCTTGTATATCCTGCAGAAATGTGAGCTAAATAAATCTCTTTTATTTAAATTACTCAGCTTCAGATATGCTGTTACAATGACAAAAAACAGATAACATGTATGCATAATGTTACCAAAAGACATATGGTAACATAAAATATGGAAGCAATCAAAAGCCCACTGATGGCGAAATGGATAAATTGTGACATGTTCATAAAATAAGAATAGATGTTCTAATACTACTTACAAACATATTGTTGAACTAATGAAGCAAGCTACAAAAGAGTACCTTCATATGAAGTACAGATCCAGCAAAACTATCCTATACTGTTGGAGGGACGGTGGCTGGAAGGATGCATGAGCATGTTCTTGAATTTCTGTTTATTGATGTCAATGCTGATTGTATACCCAATGTTCAGTTTAAGAAAATCAATCAAGTCTAAATTTTTTGTATATTGAATACCTTTTTGTGTGTACATTATGCTCTGATACAAATTTAAAATATAACTCATAATAATGTGGTAAATACAATAGTATAATGGGATAGTGGAGGTAGGTGGAGGGTTACCCTAGATATGGTGTTCAAGAAGGTTTCTGAGGCTGTATTTGAGAAAAAAAAAGAGACAGGAATAGAAAGATCCAGGTGTAGAGCCTTCCAGGTAGGAAGAATAACACGGGCCAATGTTCTGAAATGGCAATGATGTGTTCAGAAGGCTTGACAGTGATGCAGATCCCGAATGAGTAATGGGTGGAGAAGGCAAGTCTGAAAACATGGGTAGTGACCAGATCAGAAAAGGCCTTTCATGCTGTGGTACAGAAGTTGGAACTTGACTTAATTTGCAAAGAAAAACCATTGAGAGGTTTCAAACAAAGAAAAGACAGATTATAAATAACATTCTGAGAATGCTACTCTAGCTGCTTTATAAAGAATGAACTAAAAACACCTGTTAGGAGGCTTTTCCTGCGTTCTAAAGAGAGACATTTTCAGCACGGGTTAGAGTTTTAGGAGTAGAGGTGACAGGAAGTAGTATCACTGGGATGCACTTGAAGGTGTGAATAACAGGCGATGATTAATAAAGTATGAGGTCTGAAGGAAATAGAATCCAGAAGAGTGCCCAGGTTTTAAGCTTGAGCAACAAAATTGATAGTGGATCTATTTGTTGAAATGGAGTGAAGACATTTCTATACTTTTAATTTATTTTTTATGTTTTTGAGGAATATTGTGCTTTGATTGTATCAAGTTAAGCAAGAGATGATAACAGCATGATGAGTTTTGCCTTTCAGAAAGCAGTAGCATTTATCGAGCCCGAGAAGTTGAGTCTGTAGTGAGCCATGATCGTGCCCTGCACTCCAGCCTGGATGACAGAGTGGGACCTTGTCTCAGAAAAGAAAAAAAAAAGCAAAAAGCAGTAGCATTTAGAAAGCAGTTATTACTATATTTGACTCTCAATGACGGAAGATATCATAAGTCAACACCTAGAAAAGGCTAGCGATAGATACTTTTATTGATTTAAAGTACTTTTTAATGGCTAGTGATGGATACATCTTATGAACTTTCCTTTTGGGTTATGCATCTTGGCATTTCAAAAATAATCTTTGGGTAATGTTTTCAAAACTTTAACATTTTCAAAAAGCTCTGTTTGAAATACCATTTGACCCAGCAATCCCATTACTGGGTATATACCCAAAGGATTATAAATCATGCTGCTATAAAGACACATGCACACATATGTTTATTGGGGCACTATTCACAATAGCAAAGACTTGGAACCAACCCAAATGTCCAACAATGATAGACTGGATTAAGAAAATGTGGCACATATACACCATGGAATACTATGCAGCCATAAAAAATGATGAGTTCATGTCCTTTGTAGGGACATGGATGAAGCTGGAAACCATCATTCTCAGCAAACTATTTCAAGGACAAAAAGCCAAACGCCGCATGTTCTCACTCATAGGTGGGAATTGAACAATGAGAACACATGGACACAGGAAGGGGAACATCACACACCAGGGCCTGTTGTGGGGTCGGGGGGAGAGGGATAGCATTTGGAGATATACCTAATGTTAAATGAAGAGTTACTGGGTGCAGCACACCAACATGGCACATGTATACATATGTAACTAACCTGCACATTGTGCACATGTACCCTAAAACTTAAAGTATAATAATAAAAATAAAGAAAACACAGAAAAAAACCCCAAAAAGCTCTGTTTTACCTCAATCCAATGATTTTATGCATCAATATTCTTTCTTATGAGCACGGTCATCTGCAGGGGAATGTGGGGTGTGTGTATAAGATTAAGAGCTTTATTATGAGTATGTTAAGTTTGAAATGTCTATTGAATATCTAAATAAAAATGTCAAGCAGCTAGATATTTTAGTCTAGATATCATTTTAGGTGGTAGATGTGAAGACAGGTTTCAGAATTATTGATACGCAGATTATGTGTTAACAGAATTAAAGAATAGGACAAGAGAATTTCAATATTTAAATACTAGACCACAAAAAAAGTGACAAGAAAGGGATAAAAAAGATGTGGAGCACCCAGAGGAGTGTGGTGTGGTAGAAACTTAGAAAAGACAGTCTTTTTAATAGAAGGGAGGGGTCTACATGTGAGTTTTTGGGTAAAGTTTAAGTAATGTGAAACAGAAAGTTGATTGCCTGAGAGTGCAAGATAACAGTCGTTCCTATCCTTCACAGAGGGGCTTCGATGGAGTGATTGGACAGAATATCTTGTGAAGTAGACTAAGGAGAAAGGAGGCTCAAAAATTGAAGAAAATCACAAAAGTTTGCTCTGAATAATGGAACAAATATAAAGTTATACATGGATAGTGACATGGGGTTAAGGGAATATTTTTTATATATGTATATGTACATATACATATATGTGTATGTATTTTTATATTTATTATGTATATTACATATAATATATATGTATGTTATATATATTTTTATATATGTATATATATGTGTGTGTGTGTGTGTGTATATATATATGCTGTTGACAAAAGCCAAACTCTCTAAAATATTTGAAGAGGTTTATTTTGAGCCAGATATGAGTGATCATGGCCTGTAACACAGCCTCAAGAAATCCCAAGAATAATCTTACCAAAATTGGTCAGGTGACAGCTTGGTTTTATACATTTTAAGATGACAGAAATTACAGGCAATATACATTTTAAGGAGAAGACAGAAATTAGAGGCAAAGACATAAATCAATGCATGTAAGATGTATGTTGGTTTGGCACGGAAAGGCGGGACTTCTTGAAGTGACAACTTATAGGTCATAGGTGGATTCAAAGATTTTATTATCAGCAGTTCGTTGAAAGAGTCAATCCTTGTCTAAAGACTTAAGAAATCAGTAGAAAGAAATGCTTCAGTTAGGGTAAGATGGTTTTCAAAACCACAGTTCTTGTTATATAGACGAAGCCTCTAAGTAGCAGGCTGCAGAGGGAATAGATTGTAAAATGTGTAAGACTCTTAGTTAAGTATCTTCTGGGTCCATAAAAGACCCAGAAACGGAAGGAGATTCTCTAGAGAATGCAAATTTCCCCCACAGGAAATGGCTTTGCAGGACCATTCTAAAATGTGTCAAAAATATATTTTGGGGTAAAAGATCTTGATTTTCTTCAGGACCTGCTATCTGTCATATGATACTATGCCAGAGTGAGGTTAGAATTTGGTATCTTGTTGCTGCAGAGAGTCTGTTTTGTCAGCCTCAGGACCTCTATTTTAACATTACTGTTGCTCAGTTGTGCCTAAACTCCAAAGAGAGGGGGTAGAAAGAGTCATGTCTGAACTCTCTTCTAGTTGTTTGGTTTCTTTGCGATCTCCTTAACCAGGAGAGTGTCAGTTGGGGTGGGGGCTTAGACTTTTATTTTTGGTTTACATTATTCTCCCTCAGGTCAAGATTTTCCAGAGGCAACATTGATGGCCAAAGTTTTATTTGTCCTCTATTGTTGCCAGAGTGTGTGGCTATGGCTATCTGCCCCAGGTGCATCATGTTCTTTGGTGGGATCCGTATGGCCAAGGGGCTTAGAGCCAAAAGACTTATAGCAAATTTAAATGTTGTAGGGCTGGATGAGAATGGAGATGGGCAGGCATTTATCAGCCGTTAAGATCTTTAAGCAATATAAGAGCCCAAAACCAAAAGATAAGGTTACAAAATTGACTTATCAATACATTCTGTGCATTGAGCAATACAATAATCTTGATTTTTGTTACAGACTTCTAGCAATTAGCTGTAAATAACAAAAGCATTTTGTTGAAACCATTTAAGCTAAAGAACACAGAGGCTTGTTTTGTGCTGCAGTGCTTTTTCGTGGTCTTTTTCATCATTTGTCCTGAGGTGGCTGATTTAAAAAGTTACATATATCTGCATAAATCTCACAGCTAGGAGCAGTATATCCAGGAGGCTTTGTGACGAGGTTTCTTGTTATGCTCTTGGTAATTTTCTTTTAATCCTGGGACAAGCATAAAATTCTTTATAGTTGGGATGGATGGAAAGCAGCCATGTAATAGCCCAGGAGGAAAAGGCCCCTACCTTGCCAGCTGTTTAGGCATCTGGATGTCTGTCCTTGATTTGGAGGCTCTGAAATAATTCTGTCTCTGAAATTAATCCCTTACAAGCTCACCTGCCCACCTCTTCCACAGTAGCCCCTGGGTCTAGAGGGAAGGTGCCTATGTAGCCTTAGTAGCAAGGTGTTAGCAATGAAGACAGATCAGGCCCAGTGAGAGTCTAAGCAGGTTTTACATTTGGCAGATATTAGGTAGAGAGACAAAGGTAATCTATCTGTGTTTTACCAATTTTGTAAGCTACATATAGCTCAAAAGGAAAAGGCATTTCTTTTTTTACTCTGGAAAACAAAATGTAAGGAATCAGCAACATTTTAAAGAAAAAGAGCTTAATTCCTGCCTTGCTCTGACAGAAGACGGAAACTCACAGGTAGCTAGCATTTATTATCTAACATTAAGGCATAGAACAAATTATATTAATTTAGATAGAGAAAAAATTATTAAATGAGTATTCATGCCTTTGTATACAAGCCTGGTTTAGTGTCATACAAAAGCAGTTTTTTTCACTCTCATCTTCTCCCAGCTCTGAAGATGAGGCTTTGGTTAACTTACATTTGATGTCAGATACTGATAGCGACAGGAAGCAGAAAAATTCTGGGCCGAAGAGGGTGGGTGAGGGCCCCACCCTCAAACCTGGAACTGTGGCCCAGAGTGAGAACATACATTCCTGTTTCCCACTCTAATGTTGCCTTTTCTAAAACTACCAATGGCCTGTCCCCACCATCATCCTGTGCCCATAAAATCCCAGGCTCAGCTGGCAAAGAAGAGAAGCAGCAGGACATCAGTGACTATGCCTGGATGTTGGAGCAAATTGGCTTCATTTCAGAGAGACAGCTTGATGGTATAGCTTCAGAGCTTTAGGGGAAGCTTACCTTCCCAATCCATTCCCTTTTCTGCTCCCCTTCCCACTGAGACCCACTTTCATCAGCAATGAAATCCCCGCATTTACCATCTCCAATTTGTTCCTGCAACCTCATTCCTCTTGGATGTCAGACAAGAACTTGGGTGCAGGTGCAAAAGGCTGTCACATTTACCCTCCACTAAGCTGTTAACACTTAAGCCATCTGTGGATGTCAAAGCTAAAAGGGCACTGACTGTAACACTCCTTCTGGGGCTTTGGGGGTCACAGGCACTCCCCTAGACGCTGCCATGGGGCCAGAATGAAGTTCGTTCCTGCCGGCACCCAAAAGTGCTAGCCCCAGCTCCTGCACCTGCTCAGCTGCATGCTTCCTCCCGTGATGGGTTGATCACAGCAGGTTTGAGTGAACAGAGTTTGCACCTGCTGGCACCGTGCACTCCAGTTCCTGCCCACAAAGGACTCAGGGAAAATTTCTCGCTTCAATGTCAGCATTGACATTTAAGATTCAGTAGGAGTCAGTGCTCCTTTTTAAATGAGATATGTGTACCCAGAAGTCAAATACCTGAAACTTAAGAGCAAAAAGGTTAGTAACAATATTTGATAAAGACCCTTTTCAATGAGGCTGGAGGGAGTTTTTTAGGTGAGATCTAATCATCAGGCTGGAGGTGGTGATAGTGGAGTTTATGACTTAATTGAAAACTGTAAAAAGATGGTATAGCACTGGGTAATTAATTTGTATAGTTTTGATGAACCCCCGGCAATAAGTCTAAGTCAGAGACTTAACTTAGAATTTGATTTTTGAGGATGTTTGTCAAAAGATATTGAAAGGCTCAAAACATTTGATTAAAATGAATCAAAAGTCATTGTAAAATAATAGTTATTCATTTAACCAGAATGGTAATCAAAAGACTTCAAAAGCAATATAGAAAGTTACATGAATATAAAACCCTACCTGGTTTTAAACCTATACTTTTAGGTTTTAAAATGGTTAAGGGTTTTATAACAACACAGTAATTATCTTAAAATCTGTATTTCCTAGGCTAGCTGTCAAAAAGTAAAGAAAAACCTTATGCAGAGTGATTGTTTTGAGTCATTGGAAGCCCATTTGGATAACCTGAAAGTCAAGCCTCATGAAAAGATAATGTGAATTAATCAGACACAGGAAGAGTGTGTTCCATGTCATGAGTGAACACTGTTATAGAGACCTTGAGCAGGGGAATATGTGACTCTTAGCAACAGCATGGGATGTTGCCTGGGTATACTGAGCACTTTTAAACCTATGTTAGAGCTCAGAAAACAATATCCCAAAATGAAGGATTTAGAGGCAGCTGCAGAAGTAAAAGTTTTTCTTTGGCCTTCTTCTGGCTTCCTGTTTGCAAGTCCCATGCTCCCTCAAGGCGGGTCATAGCAACTAGAATCTCGCTTTCCCAAGATGAGTCCTCAAAACTGAAACTCCTTTTTCTCAAAGCCAGCCATAAAACCTAAAAATATTACTCCAATATTTTCTCTGCCTTTCTGTGAAAGAACATAAGGATATTATCTGATCTTCCTTTTGAACTGTAGAGTGCAAGACCCCCACACAGAGAAGGAAGAAAATGAATGTTCAAGGAGGTTAAGAAGAATCTACACAGGCAGGTCTTGCTGGGGTTTCCCCACACAGTCCACTAACATTGAATTATACCCTTTTCCATCATATTTTTAGATGGATGTCCCTAATTTTTTGAACCTAAGCATAAAAATGCACAATTTCCCCCATTTATTGGATCTTTGTTCTGAGCACACCCATGTATACATGCCCAAAAAACTGCATATCTGCTTCTCAATGAATCTGTCTTTTTTGAGTTGATTTTTCAGTGAACCTTCAAAGGGACCCTGGCCCCTACACATTTTAAGAAAAGTCAAGAGTAACAAATTAAGTTACAACAGAGGAAGACATCACTTTTTTAAATCTTCAAAAGAAAACATTTTAGTATCAGGCTATAACACAGTTAGAATTGAAGAAAAAAATAGTTATAGGAGACAACAAAAGTTAAAAGAGGGAGTTACCATTCCAGGCCTTCTCAAAGGGAGAAAAGCTGAAAACAGTGGGGTATATCAGGAGTTAAGCTTCTGAAATATCAATCTGAGAGATTTCTTTCTTTTTTTTTTTTTTTTTTTTGAGATGGAGTCTCGGTCTGTCACCCAGGCTGCAGTGCAGTGGCGCAATCTCAGCTCACTCCAACCTCCACCTCCTGGGTTCACGCCATTCTCCTGCCCCAGCCTCCCAAGTAGCTGGGACTACAAGTACCCGCCACCACACCCAGCTAATTTTTTGTATTTTTAGTAGAGACAGGGTTTCGCCGTGCTAGCCAGGATGGTCTCAATCTCCTGACCTCATGATCCACCCACCTCGGCCTTCCAAAACACTGGGATTACAGGCGTGAGCCACCATGCCTGGCCTCAGAGAAATTTCAAAAAGAGATTATAGAATTAAAAATGTAAAGCTTTTTGTAATTTCATCAAAAGTAAATCAATACTTTAAGAAAATATATTTGTTCTAACCAATTCGTCAGTTTTATATTCATGTATTTTATGAACTTTTATTTTAGGTTCAGGGGGGTACTTGGGTAGGTGTCATATAGGTAAATTGCATGTAACAAGGGATTGGTGTACAGATTATTTCATCACCCAAGTAATAAGCATAGTACCCAATAGGTGGTTTTTCTATTTGTGTATTTTTAATATTAAATCCCAATCTCTAAAAACACTAATACGAATAATTCTTTTTAAATTATCACCAGCTTAATCACATACAAAATTGTTTTGCAGTGAGCAGGTCTATACAAACCTATCCAAAGTTGGAGGAAGCTGAGATGCTGAAGAAAGAGGCTGATAAATACAGTTTCTTAGGCAGAAACAATTAATAGGGACTTATGAACAGAAGCCATGTCTGTGTCTCAGGCAGCAGTGAGATAAGATGGTAAATTCCTGTGCCATTAACCCCAGAACCCAGGGCTTATATGCCATAGAGAAGGAATGATTCAGAAGGCATATGTGGGACAACTGAAGTATGATAATGTAAAAGTTGTTTGTCCTAAGGGCAGGATTTATAATAAGTACCTGTTCTTACACAAGGAGCAATAAATAAACTGGAAATCTTAAAGGTCTTCCCACCTGGAGTTAATCAGAAGCCAACAGGGCAGATCACCATTCAAGATGGAGTTACTTGAGCCTCCCATCTAAGAAAGAGTAGCTTTAGCCTCCAAAACATTTCTTTCATAAATTCTCTTTATAAACTTTATCATATCTTACACAGACTATTTATGACATACTTGGACTTTCTGTTTTGTCCAAAATTTCCCTCTTTCTTAAATAACGAGTTTTTTTTTTTTTTAGGACTAAATTTACTATACAAGACTCTTTCTCATACAAAATTATTCTTTTTACCCAATTTTTAAAATAAATACATCTTTGGATTTGTATAATAGCCTTTGAATTTGACAAAGATTATTTTCCTTTTAATAAGAACATATTTTTATGTCTTTATTATAATTTCTTTTTCATAAAAAAACTTACTTTGGCACTCTTTGAATACAGAATTATATATTAACAAGAATTTTTATTCTTAGTAACCTTAATTTTTTGTGAAAACCTAGGAAGTAGTAAATCTTGAATTGTCTGTCATATATCAGTATTTTATAGATGAGAACCGTTTTATATTATTTTAGAAATATGTTTTTCTGTTTTTTAAATTAGAAGTGATCCAGACACTAAATGAGTATTATTTAATTTAACTTTAAGATTTTAAATTATATGACAAGTTCATTTATAAGCACTTATCCCATTAAAGTTAACTAACTTATTTTTTAAAATAGTTTTCCTAGGTTACTTATAAAAACTGACATATTAGACAAAGCTAGTCATCATTAGTTATTTTCAGCTAACCATTCTTATAGGCTGTGTTTATTTCAGGTGTTTACCTACATAAGAACCTAAATGTTAAATATATGTTTATTTGATTTTTTTTTTTGCCAGCTAAGGTTTTACCTATTTTCAATAAATCAACAATATTAAATGTCTTATTTATAAAAAATTATGCAAAGATCATTAAGGGATGGGTTTTATAGTTTTATAACCTTCATGACAAAGTTTGGTACTTTATAATATCAACACAGCTAAATACAAAACTATTTTACCAATAAATCCAGACAAAAATGTACGCTGACAATTCTGAAGGCATTTCAAATTTTATTTTACTAATAATTATAAAACCAGATTACTTATTGAAGATTTACTTGTCATGTGAACTTGAAGAGCATTTGGACTTTATTAGTTTATGAGTAATCCTTTATTTTTAAGCCCATTTGATACCTTGCAGTTACAACATATAAGAAAATACATGTACATGTAACATAAACACAACTCAACATAGATACACGGATACAAAGATCCCATAGATTTTATTTCAGAATTCTAGTCACAAGACAGCAATACAGATTCACCAGCTTGCAAAAGATGGTTTAATTTAAACAATGGGTTTTATCTCAATACCAGTAGAAAAGCAACAATACATTTAAAACAGAAAAAGAAAAGAGAGAAATCAAGAACTAAGCAGATGCCATATTTAATTCTATAGTTGCAGGTCAACTTTGAGCTCTGAATTTACCCATCAGTTTACAAATGTGCCAGAACAGACTATAATACATAACCAGCCAGAGTACTAGAAAACCAAGCATGCTCTCAAAACTTCACATTTACACAAACAATTGCGAGTGCCATAAAACCCCCAGGGGTGCCCCAAAGGAGGTCATCTCCTTGTCTTTTCTCAATCTTAGAGGATTTGCTTCCCAGGTTTTCTTTTTTTTAATGGAGGAGCCAGACTGTAGTGTGGGTTTCAGTGCAGTGGGGCTCAGAAGCTGTCTCTCATTCATTTACACAAAGTCAGGTTTTTCAAGCAAATGCACAGATGAACCAATTGAGACTAATTTTTGGAGAAAAAAGCAATGAGAAGACTCTAGAATGAACCTGTGAATCCAAAATTAGAATCTGAAACAACAAGTTCCCAGGAAAAGACCAGCTCAGAATAAACCAAAGTACTATTAACCACGTAAGGGTTCTGTGGCTCAGGAAGACTTACTTACCAGTTCCACCTATGGAGAAGCTCAAAGTCAGGAGGCTTTCAATGAGCCTGCAGCAGGAGAATATGATCTGGAGACCTGGAGACAGGGAACTTAAGGCCAATTTATGCTAACTTCCTAAAAGAGAAAACACCAAGGTCTGGAAGCAGGACCTGGACAACTTGTAGTCAAGACCCTCCACTGGTAACAAGCCCATATTGGTACCTTATTTCCAAGTTCACACAACTTCTTTTGGGGAGGAGAGTCCTTAGTCTTCTCTGAGGTCCTGCATTGGGCACCAAATAATGTTGATGAAGAAAAGTGAAACTCTAAAATATTTGAAGAGGTTTATTCTGAGCCATGAGTGACCATGGCCCAGGACACAACCCCAGATGTTCCTGAGAATATGTGCCCATTGTGGTTGGGTTATAGCTTGGTTTGATACATTTTAGGGAGACAAAGTTATAATCAAAGAGATAAATCAATACATGAAGGGTATATATTGGTTCCAGAAAATTTAGACATGTTAAAGTCAAGGCTCCCAGGTCAGAAATAGATTCACCAATTTTCTGATTGGCAATTGGTTGAGTTAAGCTTTGTCTAAAGACTTAAAACGTCAGTAGAAAGGAATGCATAAGATTACATAGTTGTGGAAGCCAAGGTTTTTGTTATAGAAAGAAACGCTTGAGTTAAGATAATGGGGTTGCGGAAGCCAACGTTCTTGTCATGTAGAGGAAGCTTCCATGTATCAGGCTTTAGAAACAATAGTTGGCAAATGTCTCTCTTTCACCTTAAAAGGTGTCAGGTTCTTAGTTACTCTCTCCTGGATCTGGAAAAGGCTTAGCGGCATTAATAAAGTTTCTCTACAGATGCAAAATTTCCCCCACAAAAGATAGCTTTGCAGGGCCATTTCAAAATTTGTCGAATAAATATATTTCAGGGTAAAGTATTTTTATTTACTTCATGGTTTGCTAT
Organism: Homo sapiens; assembly: GCF_000001405.40. NCBI lineage: Eukaryota > Metazoa > Chordata > Mammalia > Primates > Hominidae > Homo > Homo sapiens. Next base: position 78,452 of record NT_187518.1, read on the forward strand.
CTGTCATGTGGTGCTATATGAGAGTCAGGTTGAAATTTAGTATCTTATTACCACCTATAATCTGTTTTGTCAGTCTCATGATCTCTGTTTTAATGTTAATGCTGGTCAGTCATTTAGCACTCAATGGAAATGCTAGAGACCACAAGTATTTAGCTTAACTCTTTCAACAAATTGCCAGTCAAAAAACTTTTTAATCCACCTATGAAAGCTTCTCAGTAGCAGGCTTCAGAGAGGATAGATGGTAAAAGGTGTCAGACTCTTAGTTAAATGTTTTCTGGATCCTTATGAGACATAGAAAGGGAAGCAGATTCTATACAGAATTCAGATTTCCCCCAGAAGAGTTGGCTTTGCAGGGCCATTCCAAAACATGTCAAAGAAATACATTCTGCGGTAAAATACTTTTATTTCCTTCAGGGCCTGTTATCTGTCATGTGATTCTATATCAGAGTCAGGTTGGAATTTGCTATTGTTGCCACAGTCTGTTTTGTCCGTCTTATAATCACTGTGTTAATGTTAATGCTGGTCAGTTGTACCTAAACTCCAAACAAACGGAGTACAAGGAGTCATGTCTGACCTCCCTTCCTGTCATGGCCTGAACTAGTTTTTCAGATTTCTTTGAGATCTCCCTGGGCAAGAGAGTTCCCATTCAGTCAACTACAGGGCTTGGGATTTATTTTATTATTATTATTATTACTATTTTCTGAGGTTGCAACACAGAGCCCAAGTAGGAGGTCTAATTTTGGATAGAGGCAGAAACACTGTCTCATGGAATGCAAGAGTAAATACAATAAAATCAGAGAGATGGAAAATAGAGTACACTCAAGTATGTTGCTTATTTTCAGTCTTCTGATGCCTAATCCCTCATTGTTTTGTAGTCACATGGTTATTTCTTGGTTCTTTTATAACATTTTTCACAACTGGATTGCTATGATTGTGCAGACACTGTCTACTAGAGTCAAATTTTGTTTTGAAATAGTTCATTATTTTATTTAACTGCGTAAACTAGTTTAGTCTATGATGAATTAATAGACAGATGTGAAAAATTTTAAACTCCTCTGTCAGGGCTCAGAACAAGATCCTTCCAAATATGGCTTCTTGATGAAATCTAAAAGTAAAACCCTAAGCCCCCCAATCAACTGAATGGATTCCCCTTCTTGGCCAGTGGAGCTGAGAGCAATCTGAAAAAGTAAATTTCAGGCCATGAGGGAAGGGGGATTGGGCACACCTTGTTGCACTCCCTCCATTGTGGAATTAACATTAAAATAGAGATCACAGGACTGACAAAACAATAAGATACCAAATTCCAACCTGACTCCCATATAGCATCACATGACAGATAGTAGACACTGAAAGAAATAAAAATATTTTACCACAAAATATATTTATATGACAGATTTCGAAATGGCCCTGCAAAGCTATCTTTTGTGGGGGAAATTTTGCATCTGCCATTAGTGCAGCTAGGCCTTTTCCAGATCCAGGAAAGATAGACTGTGAGGCTCACACCTTTTAAGGTCCAAAAAGAGACATTTACCATCTATTCTTTCTGAAGCCAGCTACATGGAGGCTTCATATATGTAACAAGAATCTTAGCTTCCACAAACTCCCTTACCTTAACTCAAACATTTTTTTCTACTGACTTCAAGTCTTTAGTTTAACTCTTTCAACCAATTGCCAATCAGAAAAATCTTTGCATCCACCTATGACTCATAAGCCTTCCACTTCATGTCCTGCTTTTTCAGGCTGAAACAATGTATATTTTACATGTATTGATTTATGACTTTGCCTGCAAGTTCTTTCCCTAAGTTTTAGGGAGACAGAAGTTACCCTGGGCACACTTTCTCAGGATCTTCTGAGGCTTTTCCCCGGCCATCGTCACTCATATTGGCTCAGAATAAACCTCTTTAAATATTTTACAGTGTTCAGCTTTTTCATCAAATGCAAACTTGACATACTAAATAAGCTGAAGAAAACTGAGAAAACCGAAGAGGTAGAAAAGTCACTTTCTGATTTTTTCTGCCCTTCTCCCCTGAGAGCTGTCCACAAAAGAATTCTCAGACCTACCTGTTCTGAGAGAAGGTAATAAGCCCTTTATTCCAGAGGGGCCCTGACCAATGCCCAGAGGGAAAAAAATGTCACATGGGGAGGCCACTAAGAATCTGAACAAACCTCGCTAAGTCCTCCTCCTAAGTTTATTTCCATTATATCATATTTTTAAATGTTCTAATCATACTTTTAAGGCTCGCATGCCTCATGAAACTTCTACTAAGTAAATTTGCTATACTTTTCTGTTGCTAATCTGTCTTTTGTTAGAAGTTACCAACCACGAACCTTTTGATGAGCAAGGAAAAAATGTCTTACTTCCCCCCCACCCCCGCCCCCTGTACCACTAATTATAAACTTTGCAAAGTTTTGATACTATCATCTTATGGTGTGACCCATCTCATTCACAGGGAAGTCACAACACAGCTCATGTGGTCCATGCAGTCCATTTATACGGGATTTTGCTAAAGTTTCTATACTCCTAGATTCTTAGGCTTAGCATCACTAAGAGGGATAGAATGTGTGTCTGAACTGTATCCGTTCATTATATCAGGGACAGAATGTGTGTCTGAACTGTATGCATTCATTATATCAGGGATAGAATGTGTGTCTGAACTGTATGCATTCATTATAACAGGGATAGAATGTGTCTCTGAACTGTATCAGTTCATTATATCAGGGATAGAATGTGTGTCGGAACTGTATCCGTTCATTATATCACGGATATGAGGTGTGTCTGAACTGTATGCATTCATTATATCAGGGATAGAATGTGTCTCTGAACTGTATCAGTTCATTATATCAGGGATTCAATGTGTGTCTGTGAACTGTATCCGTTTATTATATCAGGGATATGAGTTGTGTCTGAACTGTATCAGTTCATTATATCAGGGATACAATGTGTGTCTGTGAACTGTATCAGTTCATTATATCAGGGATATGAGGTGTGTCTGAACTGTATCAGTTCATTATATCAGGGATACAATGTGTGTCTGAACTGTATCAATACACATAACCTACTTCTGAAACACAGTAAGGACAGGGCTTGGCCCCCACTCCTACTATCACATTTTTTTTCCCGTACCTGCCAACTTCCAGACCTTGCACCACCACCTCCACTGGCACGATACCCACTGCATGGATAACTTGAAGAAACTAAGATAAGCAGCATTCCACCATAAATCTTATTCAAGGGAGTTAACCTTATCACTCACATGTGCATAAGACCAGAAGAATGACTGATCTTTACCCCTTGCTTCATTATAATACTAAAATCTCCACCCAGGGAAGGGCTTACCCACCATTTTTTGATCATGCAATGTATGTGTTCACATAATTTCTCACTGTGCCTGCATATCCTGTGCTCCACTCCACATGTATAAAGAGCCTCCCATACCTCATGATTATCCATGTCACTCATCTTAAAACACAGCAAAGGCCTAGCCATGGGGAACCAGCCAGAGAACTGTCATTCCAGTGCTGTCTCCCTTGTGTTCGAGCACAAGCCCTTAATAAAGCCTTGTCTGGAAAACTTGCTTGGTCTCATGTCCATTTCTATTGCACAGGAGCCCAAGAACCTGTGGTTAGTAATACTTTCACATTTTGGCCTGAATGAATCAGGTACTGTCTGTTTAGCTGATAGGTGACTAGTTTCCTTTATTATTTTCATAGTTTTACATCTTATGTATCAATATGGTTTGGCTCTGTGTCCCCACCTAAATCTCATGTTGAATTGTAATTCCCAGTGTTCAGGGAGGTAGCTGGTAGGAGGTGATTGGATCCTGGGGTGGATTTCCCCCTTGCTGTACTCATGATTCTGAGTGAGTTCTCCTGAGATCTAGTTGCTTGAAAGTGTGAAGCACTTCCCCTTTCACTCTCTCTCTCCTGCTCAGCCTTGTAAAGATTGTACCTGCTTCCCCTCCACCTTCCCCCATGATTGTGTGTTTCCCGGGGCCTCCCCAGCCATGCTTTCTGTAAAGCCTAAGCAACTGTGAGTCAATTAAACCTCTTTTCTCCATAAATTACCCAGTCCCAGGTATGTCTTTATGGCAGCATGAGGACGGACTAATACGGTATCTATCTGTAAACAACAGAGTTTACTCTTGCCTAATTTTGAACTTTAAAAATGAAGTTACTTTGAATATATTATTTTGACTTTTTTGCTAAATATAATTTTTGTGATATTCAGCTCATTATCTTGTATAGTTTGCTCATTTTCCTTAGCATATGCAATGTCATTGAATATCTTAATTGATATATTTATTCTATAGTTATTTGGTATGTATGTTATTTTCAGCTTGGGGCTATTATGAATGTTTTTGCTATTGACATTTATGTCCTTATGTTTTCATATATAAATGCAAAAAACATAGTGCATATACCTATGGGTAGAATTGATGGGTATATATTTTTCTGACTTATAATGAGGTTGAGTAACTTTTCTTTGATTTATCAGCCATTTAGAGTTTCTCTTTTGTAAAGTACCTATTCAAGTATTTTTCCCATTTGCTATCAAATTTTGGCCTTTTGTTATAGACACATAAGAATTTTTTTATACATGTGCTGGATATTTTGTTTTCAGTTTTGTTACACATCTGCTAGTTTGTGACCTATCCAAGTGTTTAAATTTTATTTATTTGTAAATTGAATTACCAACATTTTACTTTATATTAGTTCTTTTTGTGTCTTAACTAATCTGTTCACAAGCTGAAGTCAAGAAAATATTATCCTATCTTATCTTCTAAAAGCTCATAGTTTTTTTTTTTGTTTGTTTCTTCACCTTTTAGTTTTTAACCCGCCTAAAACATATCTGTGGTATGTGACTTTAGGCAAATTTTCCATTCCCCATATGAACAAACAATTTTCCCAATACAACTTGATAAATTTATTTTTCCCAGATCTGCAGTGACATCTCTGTCTCCTTTATAGTCACATTCCACAAAAGCTTTGCCTGCTCTTGGTCTCCCTAATTCCTCCACTGTCCTCTCTATTCAGGATATTTACCTCTCATTTCAATGATCTTTATGTGGATAAATCAAATCTTTCAGGGCCATCAGCACAGTTTTTGTTTGTCTGTTTTTTTCCTTGTTTTGATATAACTGTCTATTCCCTCGATTGAAGATGTGTGTTTTGTTTTGTTTTGTTGCATTTTCATCTGTCTTCAAGTACACCATACTGATGGCTTTTCCTAACTCATTGTTTTGTTTTTCCTTTTAATTTTTTTTCTCCTTGTGTCATTTCTCCAGGCCCACTTCTTAATACTGGAGGGCTCCTAGCTCAGTTATGGGTCCTCTTCTTTTTTTTCCTGTACCTTTTCTCTGTTAAGCTCATTGGGGTTCTTAGCTATAAACATGTATCTATATAATAATATCTATGTATTAATGACTGCAGTTCAAAGCAAACTTGGCATTCACCAAACTGATCTGTGCCTCTGTCTTCCCACCCTAAACTTCCTGCAACTGCGTCTTTCCTTAGGCCCACTGGTAGGAGGTCCATAATTTCAGTTGCTCAATCCAAGCCCTTAGAGTTGCCCCTGGTGCTTCTCTTTCCCTTGAAACTGACATCCAACTAGTAAAGGAATCCTGTTGGCTCTACCTTCAGAAGACACCTAGGTTCCAACCATTTCTACAATATGTTCCTGCTTTACCTAAATCCTCTAAGGGTTATTTCTAAAGCAGCAGTTGAAGAAACGTCAGATCATGCCACTTTGGTGATTAAAACCCCACTGCAGCTCACCGTTTATTGGGAGTAAAATCTAAAATTCTTACAGGAAGCTCTACAGGGCCCTTTTACATGCTCCTCTGCCCCATTGCCTCTTAGATGTCTGCTTGTGCCACTGTTTCCCTCACTGCTCTAGCCATCCTGGCCTTCTTGTCATTCTTTGAATAAGCCATGTACACTCTCACCTCAGGCCTGTCCTACCAGTTTTGTTTTGTTTTTTTTTCTCCACTTGGGATCCCTCCCACCCCAACACTCTCTTCAGGGCTAAATTCTTTATGTCCTCAAGACTGCATGAATGTTATCCTTCCAAAGAGATCTGTACTATCGATGACATTGTAAAAAGCAACAAACATTACCACAGCTTCAGCAATTCTTTCTCTCTCTTAATCTACTTTTTCCCTTTCTCTATACCATTTGACATTGACAGACTATATAGTTAACTTCTTTCTTCTGTTTGTTATTGTTCACTGCCTCTGGGCTACATGGGCAGCTTCATGAGGACAGGCACCTATTTTGCAAACAAATATATCCCAAGGGTCTTAATAGTTCAACAGATGGCTGTACATAGTATAAATTCGACAAACATTTGTCAGATGAAATAAGGTTTCATAAAATTTCTGTAGATACATGGACCTATTTCTGAACTCTTTATTCTTTTTTTTTTTTTTTTTGGTTTATTTGTCTTGTGATGTGTGAGTTGTATACTGTTTAACAGTTTAACTTTGAAAGTAAATCTGAATTTCTGGTATGACAATTTATCTGCATTGTTCTTATTTAACATTATCTTGGCTGCTATTCTTGGCTCTTTGATCATCATTTTAAGAATCAGCTTGCCAGATTGTATTCATATCCTCCGGCTATCTATCTAGCTATCTGTCTATCTTGGGAGAGAGAGAACATTGAATCTATATCTCTAACTGTAGTTCTGGCTCTAAGTATCTATCTTCATTAATCTCTGAATCTATTTCTATTTCTTCAGTATCTCAAACAATCAGTTCCTTTTTAAACTCCCTTTATTATTATGTTAAAGTATTTCAAGGTAAATAGCCAGTGTTTTGTCATTCTAGCCCCAACCATATTCCTATGCATCCATGAAAAGGGAGAACAGTGCACCAGTCTGCTCACACTGAGTCCTTCATAGGACTTACCTACAACACCCCAAAATCTCAGTGACTTACACAACAAATGTGTATGTCTCAACTTATAGAAGATACCATTCAAAAGAATTTCAAAATTATTTTTGAAATTCAAAAGAATTAAAATCACGAACTCAGAAAATTGTACAACAGAGTTCATAGCTCCATTATTTACGATAGCCAAAAGGTTGTGTCCATCAATAGACAAATAAATGAGCAAAATGTGATATATACAAACAATGTGATACTATTCTGCCTTCAAAAGGAATGAAACTCTGATATTTTCTGCCACATGGATGAACCCTGAAAATGAAGTGAAGTAAGTATAAAGGCAAATATTGTATGATTCTACTCATTTGAGGTACCCTGTTGGAGGCCGAAAGAGTGAGGGTCGTGATCAACTGAGTACCCCACTGGAGGCTGGGTGAGTAAGCAGCAAAACTGCTTCTCATAAATGCAGAATGTTGGCAAACTGACAAACTGCGTTTGCCACACAGAGGTTATGCTGAGGGCGGTCACGCCCCAGGCACAAGTGTTTCTTGTTATTAGGTACGTCTGAAAGTCTGATAGCAATGATGTGAACCTGTAATCAATCAAGTAGCTGACCAATTGTGACATCCTCCTCCCTGCTCTTTCTACCCAATAAATACGGAGGGCTGAGAAGCTCGGGCGGCTGCCTTTACTGACTAGCAGCTGGGATCTCTCTTCTTCCCCTAAGCGAGCCTTTCCTTAAAACCATTTTCTTCTGTCTTTTGTTACTATTTCTACGTTCATTTCTTCATTCAGTCCTGTAATGATGGTCTCAAGTAGTAATTGTACAAGTCTGTCACAAGTGGTGCCTGAACAGGGGCATCTAGGGACAAGTATAGACCTGAAGAGGCCTGGAGGGATAAATAGATTAGCAGGGATAGAGAGAAAGAGTATAGGTAGGGAAAGACAGGAACTTGCAGGAACTAACAGGGACCATGGGGACAGATAGGGATAGATAAAGACTAGCAGAGACCAGCAGAAACTTGCAGGGACAGACAGGGTCCTATAGAGACTTGAACGAGGAAGGTCTGCTGGAACAGAAACTAAAACTAGCCAGACAAACGAGAAGCCCCATTACAAGTCTGCCAGCAGCAACATAAGGCTAGTGCTCTAAAAAGGTACTTGTCAGTGCCCCAGAGGTTTGAAGAACGGGAAGTTTTTGAATCAGGGTAGCATGGGGAAGAATTTGGTTATTTTTTTCTTTCATTTGGAGTTTGGTACATACCTTTTCTGTTATTTCAGGGCCGGAGAGACTATTTTGCCCCACTTAGAGCACCTATCAAAAGTGGTAAACGAGGGAGAATGAAAACTGGCTGGCAGCATCTTTTGTGGCTACAGAAATGCTCACTTTGACTATGGCTTATGAGGCTACAAATGTGGATTGGGAACGTGCAGTGGCACCTGTGAGGTGTGCAGAAAGTTCAGGAGGTTTTCTTAGTTTTTCAAGATGTGGGAACTGAGCTTCACTACTTTATAATGTTGATTCAGGCAACGGATAATTTTGGTAGTTGACGGATCTAAAAGGAGCCAAGGGTTGAGCCCTAGAGTGGAAAAGCTGTAAGTGTAGAGAATCGGACGTTGCAAAAGAGAATGCCGTCAGACCTCTGGGCAGAAGGGGTCTTTAAAACAGTTCTCTTCTCAACAGAAAAAGTGCCAGGACTTTGCCCTCGTTGAAATAAGGGAAATCACTAGGCTAATCAATGCTACTCTATATTTGACCAGAACGGCACTCCCTGTGGGGAAACCAGAAGCGGGCCTGGACCTGGGCACCTCGAACAAGGGGGCTTCCCCAGTCCAGGCCGCAACTCCGTTTCAGGGGGGTTTCTGGAGGTGCTTTGACTCCCCCTCCTCAAGCACCAGGAAGCCCAGGATTAGATCTCCCAAATGAACGGGTTTAGGGGAAAGCAACCGGCCTTGGAGGGGGAAAGCAACCGGCCTTGGCGGGGAAAGCAACCGGCCTTGGGGGGGAAAGCAACCTGACTCACACTGGCGTTTGGGACCTTTGCCAACAGGATAGGTGGGATTAATTTTAGGCAGAAGTCATCTTAACTTGCGGGGCATTACTGAAGTCCCAGGAGTTCTTCGGCTTATGGAGAAATTCAGGTAGCGGTCATGTCCCAAGATCTCTGGGTTTTGAAGCAGGAGAATATATTGCGCAGCTGTTGCTCATCCCCTGTAAATTGTACCCTTCTCTACGTAAGAAGCGAGGAGGTCAGGCATCTGCAAGTACAGCTGGGAGAAAGCTATCACAACCCACAGCATCTAACAGACCCGCCTGTGTAAGTGCAAATGGAAGGTTTAAGGATTGCTTTTTTGCTACACTGTTGCACGAGAAGGATAAGCCTCAACTTGTTTTCTCTGTGCCTTCTGTTCATCAGAAAAAGCTGCTTTCACTATCAACGGAAAGTTTTACCCCGCAGCAATTAGGCCAAGAGGCAGAAGCTGCGCCGCAGCTTGTGGAGCGGAGGCCTCGGCAATGGCCTGGCTCCCGGCTGCAGCCCCAGAAAGCTTTTTGCTTTTGTAGAGTTACTAACGTGGGGACAGGACATGCCTGTGTCTTTACAGGAGATGAACCGTGTGGGTGCCCTCGGGACCGAGGGCCGACCGCAGTCCCGCTGACCTCAACCCCCATAATACAGGGACAGACATAATTTAAAAAAGGGTTGGAGGCCGAAAGGGCGAGGGTCGCGATCGGCTCGGTTTACCACTGGAGGCCGGACGAGTAAGCAGCAAAACTGCTTCTCACAAATGCAGAATGTTGGCAAACTGAGAGACTGCGTTTCCGCGCGGAGGTGGAGCGGAGGGCGTCACGCGCAGGCACGAGTGTGTCATTAGGTGCGTGGGAAAGTCCGATCGCAACCATGTGCACCTGCGATCAGTCACGCAGCTGATCAATCGTGCGTCCTCCTCCCTGCTCCTACTCGATCCATGCGGAGTGCTGAGAAGCTGGGGCGGCTGCCCTTGCTCACTAGAAGCTGGGAGCTCTTCTTCCCCGAGCTTAGCCTTCGAACAGTGTTTTTCCCCCACTTCTACCTCCCTTCGCTCAGTCCTGTAATGAGCATCTCAAGCAGTAACAGTAACTGCGGTAGTGACCGTCTCAAGTAGCAATTGTACAGGTTTGCTACAGTACCTAGAAGAGGAAAATCCACAGAAACAGAATACACCTTACCCCAGAGATGAGGAAAAGGAGAAAATACAGTTAATGTTTAATGGGTACAGAAGATTTGTTTGGGATGAGGAAAAAGTCCTGGAGATGGATGGTGGTGATGGTTGTATCAACCTAAAGGAAAAAACTGAGGCAAAGTTAACACGCATATTTGGACCAAGATTGGGAAATGCAATCTGAGGAGACAGATTCTAGTAGCCTTAAATAAATGCTCCAACTAACAGCAGTTATAATGGGGCCTCTAAGGGAAAAGGGAAGTTCTAAGCTGACATAAACTATTGATCAACTAGACATTGTTCTTTTGTAGCTATTGATAAGCTATACACTATTCTCTGTAGGGAACATGAAGATGGTTGGTAAAGGTCATATTGTACAACTTGTAACATTTTAGGTAACTTATCAGCTAGTCTGGAAACTTCGGGGGAGCGGGGGGAAGTATAAAATTCCTTTAAACAACCCCAGGTGCGCATGTGTGAGCAGGGCTGGGTAGGGAAGTTATTGAATTCTCATGCTCGCGTCTCTGAGCCTAAGACGTTTTGTAAAGCTCACATTCTTCAGACTGCTCTGAATCATTTTTCTCAGTTTCAAATATTTTCTAAGGTCAGCTTTTGGGGAAGCTAAGGCAGGTCATATATGAAAGTAATTTAACAGTGGCTTTCTCAGATTGGACCTCAATCCTAAACAAAGGGGAAAGACCCAAAGAATTTTCTAAACTACCAAAAAACTTAAAAAATTTCAACCAACCATACTAGGATTGAATCATCTCTTCTTGCTTATAGAAAATATTAGAGTACATAGTAATGTAGCCAGTTGTTGGAAAAAATGGTAAAAGTGGTAAGTTCAACCAGTTAAGATTTAAGTTGAGGTGTTTATGTATTTCTTCGTGGTATTTTGTCAGCTTTCTAAAGGTGTAATTTTGTTGGAGTTTCACTGAAGAGAATATTATACCTGTGCAATCATGATTTGTAGCCTGTTTTCTTAAGATGCCCCAGATTGCATAAGCTTCAGCCTCAGAAAACCTGAATTCCAACCCCCACTAACTTAAACACCAGTGAGGTAAATATGAATTACATGAAAGCCAAGATCATGCAGGCATAGATTGCAGCACAACAAGACTGCAGGGTCTAAAATTCCCCCCCACCCTTCCCGCTCCCCCCAGGAATCGTTGTGGGCCCTTTTGAGAATACTGGATGAGAAAAGGTCTGTCTTCTTGAAGTAACTCAAAGATCTTATATACACTGAGATTAGTAAAATGAATATTTTTAAATGCTTGCAATGCTGAAAGTTTTATGTATTACAAGTTACAAGAAAGACAGGATGATTACATACTAATACTTGAGTGATGGGGAATGGCCCAAAATGTATCTTTTGCAAGACAATACTTCCTTAGAAACATTGATTTCTATTTCAAGAGAGATGCCTGAAAGTTGGAAGTGTAAAAAGAGAAACTTTCAAAACAATGTCGTGAACAAAGTAAAAGAGAAAAAAGCAATTTAAGTTGCAGCTGCCAGCAACCTGACTTATCTTGGGTGTTTACTTTGTAAATTGAGAGGTTACATTTTTCTTAAGGAGTCTGTCACATTTTATATGAACTGTAATTGCAGGCTAGGGACAAGGACCCCAGAGACAGTGATGTCAATGTATCTCCTGAATGGGAGTACTAGCCATCACCATGATGCAAGCTCTATTTGTCACTGGATCTCTATCTTAACAGCCTGCATAATGCAGCTGCTGTCAACTGACATTAGGCATTTACAGATTCAGGCTGTTCTATTTCTCGATCTTCAAAGGATTCACCTATCACTGTATTTTAAAAAGTCTCAATAAGTTAGGGACTGACCCTTATCCTTCTGCCAACAAGATGTAATTCCCACGCCTAATCCACTGTACCTTCTTGTTTGAATTCATACTCTCCCTGCCTGTACTCCCCTGTTTCAGTTCAGAAAACAAGTTTGAAATACAGAACATAGAATACCTCCAGTTTAGAAAGTCTGATGTATGCCTCTTAGTTCCCCATACTTACTACATAAAAGGAAATGCTGAACAATTGCATGTACTACCTTAGTTCTGTAAGGTTTCTCTCTAAATATTCAGATCATCGTGTTTGGGGAAGATACTGTGTAAGGTAAGTTTGCAGTCTTGATGCTGATCAATCGCAGGATGCTTTAAATAGATTCTGGACTTACTAGAAAGTTTTGGTTCAAACCAGAGAAATACTGGAGAATGTTGAAGTTTGATACATCTGATTTTGAACTGCAGATACTTGTGGATAGTACTAATATACAAATCTTAGATAATTCAATCTCGTTTCTTAGTAGTTATGGACTCTTATCTTTTCTGTACATCAGAATGTAGCAGATTACTTGAATTCTATGCAGATCTGTCTGCATAATGATTCCAACAGTTTTTATCATTGCAACATATATTCACCTATAATTTTAAAATCTTTATAAAGAGCTTATCTAAATCGTAGTATTCCACCTTGTTAGGTACCTCATAAGCATCTCTAAAAATGGTTTAGTTAGGAAGACCCTCCATATCCTGCTCCGAGAAACCATTGCAGCATACTTAATACTTAGAAGTTCCCAGAAGCTGAAAAGAATGTGAGTGGCTTGCCAGACGTCCAGAAGCTTATCAGTGATGAAGATAGAATATAAAGCCAGCTTTGATTAAAAACCATGTCATGTAGCATTGTGAACATTAAACATGCCAAGAATGTTTCAAGGGTTAGGAATAGACAGGGGAAGAACTCAGTTCAACTTCTGTAGAGACTGAAGGTGATCATGCCCTTGGTCTGCTTCAAGACAATCCCTCGGCCTTAATCAAAACTTCTCTATCGTTCTAAAGATTCCCCAAGTGATTTTACTTTAGTTGTGGAAGAAAAGCCATTTTCTAGAAGTGACACTTCATGTGAAAATACTGCTGGGGAGGAAACATAATGAATCTGATTGTACAGAGAATTAAATGTCTTATAGTCAGGGTCACCATTTAGCCCTGTTTTCTCAAGATATTCCCTTTCTTATGCCTGTTGTCCTCATGTCCTGTCTAGCTTAGCCTTTTAGCACTCAAACGTATTCTGAGTTAGATGGTCACCAAGAATTGTGCCAATCTTTGATGCAGAGCAGGGTCTGACAGAACGACAACAAAAATGAAAAAGTAGAAAACTTGGCTACCTGCTGCTGGACCTGCTATTGAAGAGAAAAACATAATGGACAGCAAAGGGTGAGATTCCCAAAGCTAACTGTCGCTATCACAGTCTTAAGGTTAACCTGGCACTCATTTTTAGTACTCGCTTTTTATACCAGAATTTGTACATGCAACAAGGGTGAAAACTAATTTTACCCATGACAGTGTTCCCACATTTCCAACAGTTCTCCTTGTTACTTAGGTCATTCCTGCTCATCATTCACACTTGAACTCCTGCTTATTTGAAGAACTCCAATTAGATAGAATTCACTGGCATGATCTTAAAGTACAAATTTATCATGGTTGATCTCATAAACCAATGGTTGCATAGTTTTAATGTCTAGACCAAAGATTTTAAGTGCATAGAAAATTACATTAAAAATTTTAAATTGTATATTAATCACATACCTCGATGGAAAATATTTTTTTTCAAAAATCCAGCACACAGAATGAAAATGTCTGAAATATTTCAAAACTTTTTGGCCTAAACATCAAAGTTACAATTACATGTATGTAACTCGGGGGGCAAAATAGCTGCACTAAATTGAACAAAAGAATAGTCTATAGATTTTTATTTTTTATTAATAATCTTGACAAATCACCTATATAGAAAAGGTCATGAAAAATCAAAATAGCCAAAATATACACTATGTTCAATTTTTTTCATAATCAAATCCATATTGTGAGTTTCGATACTAGTGCTAAATGCTGGGGCAAGCATGATGCTGCCGCAAGTGTGTTCTCTTACTGTTAAGCATTTAACAACTTGGTGATAAGCTTCTAAAGCATAGTAAACCATTGTCCATGAATTATGCCAGAGAATTCACCTCATAATACTGCATATAAGCAAACTCAACAACGTGAATGTGAACCAAGCTGAGTGTCTCATATTCAATCACAGCAATAGTCTCTATAAAGACTGGGAAAGATGTGCTAAATATTAAGTATACATAGAACTGGACGTTTACTAAGGTTTGGAATTATGCATAGACAATTATTACATGGGGCATGGTATAATCCAGTTGATTCCTTTATTTTCCAAGTATTCTTAAATGTTGCTATACTGGGTAACTCTTAAAATACAGTGAATGAATCAACACTACCAGAGTTGGAAGATGGTTGTAAAATCTGAGTGGTTATGGAGCCACTCATATCTCCCCTTTCCCTTTGTGAAGTAAGCTGGGGAGATCCCCAGAGTCTCATTAGCAAGTTTCAGGGCCAGGAGTATTCATGGTCAGGGTTCAGGACACAGCTGCCCTGATAAGGATATTTTTGGACCAATTTTTTCGTCTTGGGCTTTAATATTCCCAGTGGACCAATAGCAGTCACTGTGGCTGGTCCCCAGTAGGTAGCCACCATTCTCTGAATTTACTGTGAAATAACAAGCACGGCCCTCCAAGGATCTTGTTCTTATTAAATTATGGACAACCAGGTCTGGGTGAGCATTCAGCACTCTCCATCATACGAATTGCTACTAAATGTTTGCCTTTAATTTTCCCACTGGCTTAACAGTTTTTAAAATAATAAAGATACATTATAAATCAGCTGATGGAAAGCCCTGGCATAAAGCTGGTAATATTTCAAGAATGAGAACTGAAAAATGCATAAGGATATAATGTGGGTTTCATCAGTAAAAATCTGAATTTTCATCGTTTTCCATCCATCCACTGTGGCATGGTTGTGGTGGAATGTACTGAGGGGCCCTGGTGTGAAGTTCCTGTCTACCAGCCAGTGGGCTGCAGCTTCCATCATTTTTATTGTCCTTTGTTCACATACCAAGTAAGTCAAAACTGCTGAGGTCTTAAAACCATTCTGAAAGTGCACCTGTGGTCACACAACACACGTTCATGTGCCTCAATTCTAGGCTCGAAGACAGATGATGTCTTACATTCTTTCAGGGTCTTTCAGAATATCAAACTTTGGCTTACCCAATGTGCCTCTCGGGAAATATTTACGGAATGAATTGATGTCTACTTTGTCCTGTTGGAAAACAGCATAGAACAAATTATACTGTCACTGTTTAAAGAACAATGTTCCTCCTTGGGGAAGTTTCCTTAAGCCTCATTTTCAACTGTAGAATGGTCTAGTATCTTACACAGTTGTTTGGAAATGTAAAATTTACGAATCAGTTATTAATGTTCTTACTGCTATTTGCAGGTGAATGCATATACAAGTAAAGCCATTTTTCTAATTTGGTACACACCTAAATTTTTTGGCTCAATTCTAATTTGTGGTGTTTAATTCTGGAGGACTTGTTTGGATGAAGGTAATTGGAGCTGTCATATTCCCAGGAATAACTCTAACCAGTGCTGCCTAGTAGAAATCCTAGGGGAGCCACAGAGAATTCTAAATTTTCTAGTAACCACATTAAAAATGTAAAGAATAGGTGAAACTAATTTTAATCTATATTATCCAAATATATCTAAAAGTTACCATAATATAAAGTTTTAAGAAGACGTGTTGCATATATTTTTAACAGGTGTTTGAATTGTTAACTTTGTGCTGATGGCACATCTTGATTTGGAGCAGTCGTGTTTCAGGGGCTCCACAGCTTCATAAGCCTCATGGCTACCACCCTGGATAGTGCAGATCTATATGATGCAGGGAGAAGCTATCCAAATAACTCATAAGTGGTCCTAAATTGTGGTAAAATATTTAACTGATATGGATACATATGCAGAATCTAACTTCAAGTTTGAGAGATCCCTTCTTTTGGGATACACTAGCTCTAATACTTAAACTAGTTTATTTTTTCATAAGTTAAATGGGATTCTAACATTTTAACGAGTTGTATGTTAATAATCGGTAGTTTGCTGCTGCAAGAAGGAAAGCAAACACCACTTGACCCTCAACGTTTTCTCCCATGATTTTTCCTCCTATGAATTCTTGGATGACTTCTCAGAACTCAGCTCTTTTTATTCAACACAGGCTCATTCTGCAATACTCCACCTGATACATGTAAGTTGAGCACTCAAATTTTACAATGTACAAGTGTGTCAAGAATGGTGTAAATTAGGTCAAATAATGCAGTTATTCTTCCATAGGCAAATATATACTCGTGGTGATCTTCAAACTGGATTCTAAGTGTGAGAACTAGAGTCTAGTATAAGGAGAGCAGTGTAGGATGTGGACAATCCTCCTTTCCTCCCCACCACCCTATCCTATTGAATCAGGCTGGTTCCATTCTTATGTCTTATATGCATCCTCACCAATGTAAGGTGGTACTCGAAAGACAGAAATAAATGGTCATGAACAAAAAGATTGTTTGATCATGAACTCTAAATAGTAATCACCAAATCAAGAAAATCCTTAAATGAACAATGATGGTATAATGAGATGTAGCACAATCCTGCTCAGGCAGTTCTCTCAGGGAAATTATGAGCTTCAAGAAATAAGATTTTGACCTTGGTTTCATGACTACATCATAATGTTTTATGTAAATCAGATACCTTTCCAACTTTATCATATCTCTTTCGTGTACCCTACAGAGCTATGGAGCAGAGCAATTATTCCGTGTATGCCGACTTTATCCTTCTGGGTTTGTTCAGCAACGCCCGTTTCCCCTGGCTTCTTTGCCCTCATTCTCCTGGTCTTTGTGACCTCCATAGCCAGCAACGTGGTCAAGATCATTCTCATCCACATAGACTCCCGCCTCCACACCCCCATGTACTTCCTGCTCAGCCAGCTCTCCCTCAGGGACATCCTGTATATTTCCACCATTGTGCCCAAAATGCTGGTCGACCAGGTGATGAGCCAGAGAGCCATTTCCTTTGCTGGATGCACTGCCCAACACTTCCTCTACTTGACCTTAGCAGGGGCTGAGTTCTTCCTCCTAGGACTCATGTCCTGTGATCGCTACGTAGCCATCTGCAACCCTCTGCACTATCCTGACCTCATGAGCCGCAAGATCTGCTGGTTGATTGTGGCGGCAGCCTGGCTGGGAGGGTCTATCGATGGTTTCTTGCTCACCCCCGTCACCATGCAGTTCCCCTTCTGTGCCTCTCGGGAGATCAACCACTTCTTCTGCGAGGTGCCTGCCCTTCTGAAGCTCTCCTGCACGGACACATCAGCCTACGAGACAGCCATGTATGTCTGCTGTATTATGATGCTCCTCATCCCTTTCTCTGTGATCTCGGGCTCTTACACAAGAATTCTCATTACTGTTTATAGGATGAGCGAGGCAGAGGGGAGGCGAAAGGCTGTGGCCACCTGCTCCTCACACATGGTGGTTGTCAGCCTCTTCTATGGGGCTGCCATGTACACATACGTGCTGCCTCATTCTTACCACACCCCTGAGCAGGACAAAGCTGTATCTGCCTTCTACACCATCCTCACTCCCATGCTCAATCCACTCATTTACAGCCTTAGGAACAAGGATGTCACGGGGGCCCTACAGAAGGTTGTTGGGAGGTGTGTGTCCTCAGGAAAGGTAACCACTTTCTAAACAAATTGCATATGCTGCTAGAGACTTGAAATGAAGGATACAAGACTTTATCATTGCCCTTGAGTTTAAATATTCTCTGCCTGGAAACAAGTGACCCACATGCCAGCAACTGTGGGGCATTTATGGGATTTGGAAAGCTGCCTGGGATTTTTAAGGATTTCATTTTTTTGAAAGGTATGAAGGCTCTGAACAATGAACAGTTTGGGCTGGGGTAGGCATAAAGCTGAGGTTTAGTAGTCACCCATGAGCTCTTAACAAGGTGTGTATTCCACTAAAAATCATGGACTAGCCTGTTTCTGGCTCTGCTCAGTCATGGCAAAAACGGTCATCTTCAACTACTTCCCTGACTTCTCTCGACTTTTCCCCTTTAGACAGTCTGTCCATTGACCATTATAAAGAATCAACTCAAATATTATATTTCAAATATAGCAGTCACCATCTTATCCTCAGGCTGTGTTCTAAGTCTTTTGGGGGAAGCCTGAAACCATAGTATAGAACTATAGAACCTGACTGCTGTCAGTCACAACATATTTGCTCATCTTCTACCATAAATGTAATACGTTTTCTTTCTTACCTAAGCACTTATCACACACTGTGGCTGTAGGTTTTGCAGTTTGAGGTGTGACAGCAAAATTACCACAAATGTGTTTTTCCTCCTACACAATTTCAAAGAAGATTCATTCTTACTGTAGATCTTGGCAATCTCAGCATATTTTTCTTGCCAGAACCTCCAGTTAAGAACTTATTAGAATGTGTCTCTGATAATGGTTTGGCTGTTTCCCCACCCAAATATCATCTTGAATTGTAGCTCCTATAATCCCCATGTGTAGTGGGAGGGGCCTGGTGGGAGTTAATTGAATCCTGGGGGTGGGTTTTTCCCATGCTGTTCTCATGATGAATAAGTCTCACGAGATCTGATGGTTTTACAAAGGGTGGTTCCCCTGCACATGAGTCTTGCCTGCTGCCATGTAAGACATGCCTTTGCTTCTCCTTCACCTTCCACCATTGGCTGTGAGGCCTCCCCAGCCATGTGGAACTGAGCCCACTTAACCTCTTCATAAATTACCCAGTTTGGGGTGTTTTATAGCAGTGTGAAAATGGATTAATAGTCTGTTTTTCAGAGACATGAGCAGAGGGCCAATATCTTTAGAAATATAGAACACTTAAAAATTAAGTCTTATAGGAGCTAGCAAGGTTTTGCCAAATACAGATTCACCCAAAAATGTCAAGTGGCACTTTGGAATGGAGTGAGAGTGGGCAGGCAGAATTATCTGAAATTAAAACAATCTAAACTCCAAACTGTGGGAGTCAGTCTTGGCTTGTAGCAACCAAGTCTATACCTACTGATGATATAAAAAGGATTACTTCCTGAAGAGAGTTAAAGGGAAGGAAAAGAGAAAAAGTGAATAAGAAACATGGAAGATTGAGACACCACAAAATACCTCTTGTAAAAAGTCTAAATTATATAAGATAACTAAGTTCAACACTAGACAAAGTATTGTGACACATGAACATGAGTTAGAAACTAATACCAATCAATACACTGTTCACAGGTCTGTTTTTTCCTTAAGTTGGGCTTGTATTAACAATTTTCCAAACTGATACAGCAGCACTTCTCAAACGCTTTCATGACATAACTATAAAAATTAGTGATATGGCACCTTGAGGAAAACTGATGTGGCTGTTGACAGCAAAATCAACTCCCCTGTGGCTGTAGCCAAATCGGGCACTGAAGACCAATCCAGGGTTGAGAGGATCAATATTGGTTGTAACCCATTTGTGGCTCTGGAGAAAGACACATCACACCAGAGGGAAGAGTGTATCCAATCAATCCAATAGTTAGTTGGAGAACTTTATTTATGGATGACATATAAAATATTCAGGAATTATTGAATAACATTCTAAAGGCTGAAAAAGGGTATGGGTTTTCTGCTTATCTGCAACAGAGGGTATAAGGTATGTGTCCAATGGATTTGTGATGACTAGCAATCATAAGTAATGTTGCCCATTAGCTGACTTAATGCATGAAAAGCATTCAATGATGTTGTTTGGGAAGCAGAACTTTAGTAATAAGACCACCTTCTTTTCCCCATTAGAGAAATAAATGTTAGGAAGTTCAATTTTCCTAATGTTTAAATATCTTAATGTGCTCTGGTGAAAACTTTAGAAAATGCATAACTTGTATTACCCTCACTTTTTTCTCTACCAATTGCGTTATTTCCATCATTTTTCTTATGTCTCCTTTATTCCTACTGAGGTCAATATTCTTCTGTAGTACACGTAAGACAAATAATTCTGAAAAACACTTAACCTAAGTGACAAATGCCACTTTTGTGAAAATAGAAGATAGGAGAAAGTAGAAGGAAAATCTCTTGGGACCCAAACTCACTAAGCCAAAGGGAAAAGTCAAGCTTGGGAACTCTGTCATGCAAAACTATATTCCATATCTGTTCCCGACTGTATGGCTACAGATTCCATACTGTTCCGGAATGGACAGCTACACAGGTAGAAGGCTACATACCTCCCCAAGGGACCTCCCTCACAATCTGCTAGCAAGGAAATTCCTTGCTGGCCCAAAGATCTTTACCCGAAAACCATTCTCTTGAATTGTCATGCTGACAATGTAAATGAATGGCTTATCTTGACAGGCAGTGGACAAAGACAGGCCTGGGAGTCATCCCTCCACTCCCCTGAAACAAATGCATATTTGACTGCTTCCTCTACTGTGTACCTTATCTTATATACAATCCAGATTCACTGAGCAGGAGATGAACGCCCAGTTGAGTGTTCCTCTAAACCCTCTCCTGTCACATCTAAAGTGCGAATTCAGTCAACACTGATTAAAGCCTGCAAAGAAGGAAACTACTTCATTTATTCACACTTCCTTTTTCTTTTTTTTCCTCTAATGCCCACTGTTTCCCTTTTAAATATTGAAGTCTCCCAACCGTCTTTGGAAGAAGCACAAATCTCAGATGCTCCTGTCATATTGTGTTCCTTTTTCCCAGGTGCATCCTCAACCTTGGCACCAGAAACATCTACATTGATTGAGACTTGGCTCCAATGCTTTTTGGTTCACACTTATTTATAACTTTAAAGATTTCTCCCCAAACAAGAGGCCAGTGACTTTTGAGAAAGAGCTTTTTTAGTTTGTCATAGCCTCTATTTCTAAAGAAATTTAAAATCTAATTTTCAATTTAGAGCGAGGCTCTTATCCCCACATCACTGCCTTTAAAATCTCTCTGGAGAGATGCCAAGATTCAGTAAGACATTTTCATGATGAAATACCAAGAAACGATTCCAGTCCTTCACTTGGGAAAACAATGCACCCTCTGCAAGAAAGGACAGGCTGCTTCTAAAGTTCATGGTAAACCCAGTCAACTTGGATTAATTGCTAACCCAGGAATTCTTCCTGGGGGATGTGGGACTCTATTAGTGAAAAGACTTTTTGACCTAGCCTCACCCCTACACAATGTATTTAATAAGAAGTCTGACATTCCACTACTGCTTTAGAAAGACTTGGACCCAGCTTCTCTGAGGTAGGATCCTTAGATCTTCATGAAAAACAGAACATCACCCAGATACTGGGATGTTTTCTTCAGGTATTACTCTGTAACTATTAGAAGGCCACGTTACTACTGTGAGCTTATCTGCTAATAACTGAGGCAGTGGTCTTCTCAAGATTAAGCATAAATAACATATATTCACTATCTGGCAAGCAGACAACTGGAAAAGGGCATTTAGCATGAAACGTGGGAAGCTAAGGGAAATGTAATAGTTTAGAAGAACATGAATAGATTTACTGAAGGAAAATGGCATGTAAGAGCCGACAGTTAGAAGAATGTGCTTGGTATTCACAATGAGAAAGTTTCAGAATTAATTGGTAGCAGGGGTGCATACTATTGGATAAGCATAGATTGCCCTCTGAATATTTTGTTAAAATTTTAATTTACATTTTAAGTTAAATGATTAATTGCTCCGTTCATATGCATTTAGGTGTGGCTGAAGACTTCATGCTTGGAGGGAAATCATGATTTTTTTTTTTCATTTTAACCTCCTTCCTCTTTTATTGAACCCATAAGGCATCCACGTGTGCCTTAAGATCTTTTTTTTTAATAAAACTATTAGAGGTCTCCTAGAAGCCATCTTAGCATGGCATATAAAAGCCTGTTGAGCTGAGTAACTGGAGCCCAGGGGGAGATGTGGACATGTTGGAAGCTCAGGCTGTAGGGGTATAATAATGAGTGCATTGTGTTTATAGTTGCAGGTGTCTGCCCCTTGCTTCAGCTCACCTCACCTCACCACTGCTGTTCCTGTGTAATCCTCCATGCCCTTACTCTCCATTTCCTCTTCCACAGTATTAGTAGGGTGGACTAGATGGGCTCGCCTCGCCTCACCTCGCCTCTGCTGCTCCTGTGTAATCCTCCATTCCCTTACTCTCCATTTCCTCTTCCACAGCGTTAGCAGGGTGGACTGGATGGGCCATATGCCAGATCCTTTGATTTCTATTTGCCACCACACGAACTGACACTGCTGCCCAGAAGCATTCCCCTGCACATCCACATCACAGCCCTCCTGCTGGCAGCTTGGAATTTAGACCTTTTACTCTCAATGCTCCAGGAAACCAGATGTACTTCTTTCTTTCTTGTCCATTGGTGATATCCTTGACAATGTAGTTTAGGTAAGTTGGCATGTAGCATTAAAACCTGTATTCTTCAAACTGAACTAACTTCTGGCATAGTAAGTGTTCAGTAAATGTTCACCTACATGCCATTATAGTGCTGATTTTTTTTTTTTTTTTAAAGCCAAGAAAACTTCTATCTTATGCCTAATTTTCCACACTGAAAATTTCCAAATTGTCAGTTGGGATGGGAGGGAAAGTAGACTACTTTTCCATGAATGAAAACAGTTACCATTTAAATAAATAGGCAGATAAAGGGGGGTGGTAACTAAGGCAGTATGTAATTAGAACTGGAGATAAGGTAAGGGAAAAGAGAAATTCACATCATTGGATACTACGTTGCTGTGGAGAGAAGGGGATAAAATCTGATTAATGTAGGAAGCAAGGTCCAAATGCGTTCATTCATAAAAGCAGACGGAGTACAGGAGTAGCTTGTGTAGGTAGAAGAAGAAAAGGAGTTCCTGGCCAAAGCCCACTGTGGCTATGAACACTTATGAGTAGCAATTAATATTAATCTTGCTTTCAAGACTAAAACTGCCAGGTGGATCTTTCATAAGTACCTTATTTCAGCATGTAACTTTCTGACTGAAACAACTCCCATTTGCACCTTATTTCTCGACGCTGAGTTCTGGTCTCCCTGCCTTCACTTTCCAGCCGCACTCCACCCCACACACCTCAGCTCTCCACGGGCTCTTCAGCTGTAGTTAGACTGGACTCTCCCCTCTCTCTTCCACCCCTAGTGCCTGCTAATTCCCATTTGCGAGCCTTTTGACATTATTTACATTGTCTCTGATCATGTCCTCTCTCCTTCAGTCTCGAGTTTCGGAATCAGACCGGTTTCCCTCTCTACTATTGCACTGTTTAACTGAACTGACTCCTGTCTTCTCCTGGTTCTTGTGATCCACTATTTTCAAAGCAGTGATCACTTAGATGCTCTTTAAAAGTTTCATGCTTTAAGATCCTTTCAGTCTCTAGCCCTAGGGTTGAACCTTTGAGGTAAAGAATTCTGACATGGTATTCCTCTCTTTAACACTTTCATTTCCATAGTTTTAGTTAACCTGCAATCCGCCAGGTTGCTATCTACCATGTGTAGAAAATATTAAATGAAAAATCTCAAATTTTAAATTGCCCACCATTTTGAGTAGTGTGGTGGAAATATCATCCCTCTGTGTAGTTGATTCACACTGTCTATGCTACCCCCTGAGTCATTCAGTAGCTGTCTAGGTTATCAAATCGACTGTGGCGGACTCAGTGCTTGTGTTCAAGTAACTCAGTTTTTCTTAATGGCTCCAAAGAGATGGAGTTAGTGAAGCTGGCGATTTAGATGTGCCAAAGAGAGGCTGTAAGGTGCTTGCTTTAACTAAAAAGGTGAAAGTTCTTGACTTAAGGAGAGAGAAACCCTCATAAGCTGACTTTGCCAAGATCTATATTAAGAAAAACTTTATCTTTGAAATCATGAAGGAAAAAATTATGCAAGTTTTGCTGTCACATCAAACTGAAAAAGTTATAGCCACAGTATATTGTCTTAGGTATTCTATTTTATTATTGTTAATCTCTTACTGTGCCTAACTTATAAATTCAACTTGATCATAGGTATGTATGCATGGGATAAAATATGGTATATATATAGGGCTCAGTACTGTCTGCAGTTCCAGATATCCAGTGGGGGTCTTGAAAACTGTCTCCCACTGATAAGGGGAAACTGTACCTTTGTCCACTACTCAAACTGATGCATAGCATCTTCTGGTTTGCTATGACTTCATGTATGTAAAACTTCTAAAGTACCTGGCACACGTAAAGCCCTATTGGTTTATGGTTTGGGGAATACCAAACTTCCTGTTTCTCTTCCTCCGTCTCTTAGTGCCTTCCACACCATTATCTTCTCTCATAAGCTTTAATCAAAGCAGAAAGATCCCAATATACTATCCTTGGCCCCCTTTTTCTCATTCAGGAACAAATAATCGATGACTCTTAGAGCTATGTGGCACTTAGGATTAGTAACATGTTGGTGACATGCCATTCTTTTACTGAAAGAACACTGAGGTCTGGAGAAGTAACTATGCGTGTCATCCCCAGAGCAATTTGACAGCTGAGCAAAGCACAATGGCATTAGCTGTTATTTGTGGCTAAACACCTTTAAAAAGTCCCCAATATATTTTCATTTTTAGAAATCCCCACTTTAGACTTAAAATGATCTGTTTCTATGAGGATTTTTGATATGATACATTAATCAAACTTAACTATGTGCCCCTTAAGAATATTGTCAGTTCTATCAATCTTCATAGCTCACCCAGTGCTAGGTGAGTGTTTTGAACACGGAATGTGTTTGTGCTTCAGGCATTCTGTCTCTAAGGATGGAATGGAAAACCCTTCCCTTTCAAGCTTTACAGGTACGTTGTGTCAAGTGGAGAAGATCAGTTCTGGTTAGCAGCTTTATTGCCACAGAAAGGACACTGGCAGATACTTCTCATAGCTCTAGTCATGCTGAATTCCCGGAAAGGGGTGTCAGAATGAATTGCTCTAAGCTCTTCTCCCTGGTAGAAGAACCTGTGACTTCTCTTGGAGATCTCTTCAATTTTCGGTGAGTCACCAATTGTTCTTGATTTCTATGGCTTCTCCCAGAACAACTCCAGGGCTGTTGTCCTGAAACATACAGCTTTGATCACCTGGCACCCTGCAGAGATTCTCCTTTCCCTCTTCTCCATGTGGCAGACCACAGGTAGAATAAATGCCTCTTGGCGAGCTCACTCATCCCTCATCCATCAGCCCCAAGTGTGCAGATAACAGATGTGGAGCTCCTGTGCTTGGTGTCCTCCACCTCTCGGCTTGATCTTCCCACCCTCCCATTCCTGCCAGATGATTATGTTGCAACACTGGGTGATGTTATAACTGGTCCTGGGGGTCAGGGGTTCTGGGTTATGTTCTAATCTGCACTGGGGAGAAATCATTCACCGCCTTGAAGAGCCTGAAGCTTTGATCACGCAAATAAAAGCTTTTTCTTTTTCTTTTTCTTTTTCTTTTTTTTTTTTTTTGGAAAGACTAGTTGATGAAGGGGAACCTAAGTGTCTTAGAGTGGAGAATGATGATAGTGAGGGAAAGATGACCTGATGGGGAATGGAATCTAGGATCTTGTATGTGTGAATAAGTCAAACCACACATCGTAATGCTAAATAGCATCAACTCTAATGTTAAAATGTAGATGCTCGGAACTGATGTAAACAGAAGTAACTGATGACATGTTTTGTCCATAATGCAGATATTTTCCCTGTCTACTTGCAATGCCCAGTAGCCTATGGAATAACATTAGGCATGCATTTGAACATGTCACATTTGGTTCTAAATATTGGCTTCATTGAAATGGGTGAATTGCTCGTTTGTGCCAAGCAGTGTAGTTCTGCTCTTTAGCAGGGCCTTTTCCCTACACATATCCCCACCCACTCACAGATGCACACACCACACATACCATGCTCACACACTCACATATGAACACACTACACACACATGTACACACAACGCTCACACTCACAAGGAACCTCTTTTTTTTTTTTTAACACGGTCTCGGTTGTATAAAAATGAGGTGGCTAAAATCATATCTTTCTCCTGTTTCAGCTTTTTTACTCTCCTCTTCTGGGATCCTACAGTAAGATAAGATCTAGGAGTTGAAAACGTTCTTATCCTTTTATCATAGACATTTGAGGCAATAGTGTTTTACCTCCTCTTTGAATACCTTGTGGAGTCTGATTATTTACATGAAACAAAATGCTCTGGTTCATGTTCTGATTCAAAAGTAATTGGTTATTTTCTTAGGTCATTTTCGTTTGTCTCATTCTTGCCTATTTCAGTTCCTCAAAGTATATTTTTAAAAGGATGATTGTCAGCTAACCTAACACTATAGTAATTAATGTATAATATCCATAATGCATTTAACTGAAACAATAGATGTGGGTCAAGACAAACTTACTGTCTGCGAGATTAATATTTTTAATTTCCAACAAGCTATTGCAAAAGCCACTGCAAATGGAATTGTATATTTAAATAGTCTCTTGACCCATGATTCGAAGCTGTGGCTATCACAAGAAAATCTTTCACCTGTTAGAGAAGGCAAAAGTAGCTGACTTTTATCACGCTTGACAGGAGTTAATATTTGATGCTCATGTATTTTTTTCTCCTCAACCAAGGTGTGACAAACTGAAGTTTCAGCACAGACCAACACAAAAATTGCTTTTTTTTCTTTCTCCCTTTGGA
The DNA here is from genome assembly GCF_000001405.40 of Homo sapiens. NCBI lineage: Eukaryota > Metazoa > Chordata > Mammalia > Primates > Hominidae > Homo > Homo sapiens. The sequence goes on from NT_187518.1 coordinate 105,097, forward strand.
TGTTTATTCATCTTTTAGGCCTATTACTCATATCTCCATCTCTGAGCACTAAGAAGGAAAACTCTACTGTTGCTATTGTTTTTGCTTCAACATAAGGAGAGTTTATTCCTTGATGCTTCAGGGACTGTAAATTTTGACTATTCTAGAACCAAAAGATTCAGATACATTTGTAGTATTGGTGGCCAAAACGTTTGACAGAAAACAAGTTTCTTCAGTAATCCTGTCACTAAAATGAGAAGAAATACACCATAATCTAATAAAGAAAAATTCATCCCTCAGTATTCCTGAACATATAAAAGGGACACACATTCATATTACTCAAAAAAGCATGAGAATTCATTCCATTGATTCAAGGAATGTTTGATACTGCTGTGTCGCGTCTGAGTTCAGAAATTTCTTTACCATCTATAGTTTTTGTTTTCTTGTTTTGTTTTTTGAGACAAAGTCTTACTCTTGTCCCCCAGGCTGGAGTGCAATGGCACGATCTCAGCTCACTGCAACCTCCGCCTCTCAAGTTCAAGCGATTCTCCTTCCTCAGCCTCCTGAGTAGCTGGGATTGTACAGGCACCTGCCACCATGCCCGATTAATCTTTGTATTTTTAGTAGAGATGAGGTTTCACCATGTTGGCCAGGCTGGTCTCGAAGTCCTGACCTCAAGTGATCTGCCTGCCTCGGCCACCCAAAGTGCTAGGATCACGGGTGGGAGCCACTGCACCCGACTGTAGTTATTTTTACTTATAAACATGAAGGATCAGTAAAATGGTAGAGAAATAAACTTGAGGAAAAAACCCAAGTAGCAGTGGATTACTAGGATGATATAATATTAGGACAGGTTCAGGATGCCACTCTGTCAGAGAAACTCTAACATTTTGGCTAAACAATATTTTAAGATGAGGTCATGATTGAATTCTATGATGCAGCATCTAAATTTTAGCAGAATTCATTGTCAACTGGAAAGACCACCAGGATAACGAAACTAAAGCCCTGTTCTGAAGCAGTTTGTGGTGGTTGTCCTGCCAGATTTATGATCCCCAAATTATTCTGTGAGAACAAATAGACACAAGTTCTCACAGCAGTCCATGCCTAAAAGATGAACTCCTTTTGCAGGACAAAAGTCTAACCACAAGACAGTGTGGCTCCTGACCCCAAATGAGGTCATCTGTACTGCTTTGATGTTCCTGACTTTCATAAAGCTGTTCAGTAACAACAGCAGCCAAAAAAGTCAGTTATCTAGATGTTTTCTATCAATTTAAGTCACAAATAGACGTCTGTGGATGACTCTAGTACAATCATCTCGATGGAGATGCAGAGAGCAATTTAAATTCAAATCATTTCGCTAGGCGAAATGGGAAATAAGGCACAGTAACCACCCTCAGAAAACTTTCAATCTAAAAGTGATAAGATTATGAAATGTATTCAGAAGATAGTTCAAAGTAAAAATCAGATTCTAAACCAGGTACTGTATGAATTACATTTACATCTCACATCCAGCCTGTAGAGTACAGAACTATGATGACCTTTCACAGATGATGAAATTGAGTTGAGATTAATTTTCTGTCCAATATCATACAGATCATTAATACTGAAACCCAGGATTTCAAATGATCCTGAAGTAGGTGATCTTTTCTTGATCTCACGCTGCTTCTGACATACTATTCCTGGTGGGCTCTTCCTACATATCAGGTCGTTAAATAAGCTGCCAGATTTCTGCCTTTACAGCCCAAGGAGCTTGTCATGGACCATGGGCATGGAGGGTCTTCTCCAGAACTCCACTAACTTCGTCCTCACAGGCCTCATCACCCATCCTGCCTTCCCCGGGCTTCTCTTTGCAATAGTCTTCTCCATCTTTGTGGTGGCTATAACAGCCAACTTGGTCATGATTCTGCTCATCCACATGGACTCCCGCCTCCACACACCCATGTACTTCTTGCTCAGCCAGCTCTCCATCATGGATACCATCTACATCTGTATCACTGTCCCCAAGATGCTCCAGGACCTCCTGTCCAAGGACAAGACCATTTCCTTCCTGGGCTGTGCAGTTCAGATCTTCCTCTACCTGACCCTGATTGGAGGGGAATTCTTCCTGCTGGGTCTCATGGCCTATGACCGCTATGTGGCTGTGTGCAACCCTCTACGGTACCCTCTCCTCATGAACCGCAGGGTTTGCTTATTCATGGTGGTCGGCTCCTGGGTTGGTGGTTCCTTGGATGGGTTCATGCTGACTCCTGTCACTATGAGTTTCCCCTTCTGTAGATCCCGAGAGATCAATCACTTTTTCTGTGAGATCCCAGCCGTGCTGAAGTTGTCTTGCACAGACACGTCACTCTATGAGACCCTGATGTATGCCTGCTGCGTGCTGATGCTGCTTATCCCTCTATCTGTCATCTCTGTCTCCTACACGCACATCCTCCTGACTGTCCACAGGATGAACTCTGCTGAGGGCCGGCGCAAAGCCTTTGCTACGTGTTCCTCCCACATTATGGTGGTGAGCGTTTTCTACGGGGCAGCCTTCTACACCAACGTGCTGCCCCACTCCTACCACACTCCAGAGAAAGATAAAGTGGTGTCTGCCTTCTACACCATCCTCACCCCCATGCTCAACCCACTCATCTACAGCTTGAGGAATAAAGATGTGGCTGCAGCTCTGAGGAAAGTACTAGGGAGATGTGGTTCCTCCCAGAGCATCAGGGTGGCGACTGTGATCAGGAAGGGCTAGCAGGGACTCCCACAGCATCAGAGTGGTGACTGTGATCGGGAAGGATTAGCGGGGACTCCCAGAGCATCAGGGGTGGTGACTGATCAGGAAGGACTAGCAAGGACTAGCGCAAACATCTGCGGTGCTGCGGCCAATAACGCAGCTATTACAGAAAATATGGTATTGGTTCTGAAGAATGTTCAGTGTCACTTTCAGCAATTCAAAATTAACAGGCAAAATCATCCTGTTGCAAGGATTACTTAGGAACAGTAGCGAAGTTGGTGAGCATCTCCGCATTAGTCAACTTTGTTCAACTGGATTCACAAACATTTCCAGAGGGCATTCTCAGTCAAGTAGCCCTACAAACCATTCATGGCACGCCAAGCAGCTCTTGGAAGTGCCCATGTTAACATGTGACCATGAGTCCTTCCTGTCTGTATTGCTAACGTGTGATCATGAGTCCTGCCTGCCTGTATTGCTGACGTGTGATCATGAGTCCTGCCTGTCTGTATTGCTAACGTGTGATGAGTCCTTCTGTGTCTGTATTGCTAACGTGTGATCGTGAGTCCTTCCTGTCTATATTGCTAATGTGTGACCATGAGTCCTGCCTGTCTGTATTGCTAACGTGTGACCATGAGTCCTGCCTGTCTGTATTGCTAACGTGTGATCATGGGTCCTGCCTGTCTGTATTGCTAACGTGTGATCATGGGTCCTGCCTGTCTGTATTGCTAACACGTGATTGAGTCCTGCCTGTCTCTATTGTTAACCTGTGATCATGAGTCCTGCCTGTCTGTCTGTATTGCTGACCAACTTTTGAATGGAAATTGGAAGGAGCATTTGCCACCTCCTTGATGACTTAATTTCAAACATTCAATACAAGTAAAATATTTTCTAGTGCTAAATGTGTAGCAATTTTATTAGAAAACATTTAGGAAGGTGATACTATTTTTGGTTCCATGTTCTTAGTTACATTTTATGAATGTTATCACTTACCTCTGAAATTAAATACTTGCCCTGCCTTTATTCACATGGAGTCCAATATATTCCTGGAAATATTGATTCATTGATTGAAAATTGACTCTGCCATTAAGATTGTTACATGGCCAAAAACCTACAAAACTGCCATTTATGCTCAAATTGTTAATAGATAAATGTAGAATGAATAAACCAAGACATTTTATTAGCTAACTTAGTTCCCGTGGAATAAGTTGCTCAATTTTCTTATTCTCAACATCTTCATTGATATGCTGAAGACAAGTATTTTTGTAATTAGTTGGAGTTAGGTGTGGTGCTTTGATAGATGTGTAACTTTGGTGGAATACTAACTAAGCAAAGACTACACTGACCCCACCATTCATGTAACTTTAGTTTCTCCTGTGTGTAAGGTCCTGAAATATGAGACATAAAAAATATTGACGGACCTGGTGTTTATTTTCTTTGTTGATACGAGGCTTAGAAAACATTGGACAGAGCGGTTACATAGTTGACAAAGACTAAGCAAAGGTTACTCAGCCTTATGTTGTTCTAGTGTCAACACAGATAGAAGGAAAAATGTTTCCTCCATTGTTGCTGACGTAGATAAAGAATATTCCCTTCAATATGCTAACCCCTAGGTGGCTTTTCATTCAGAAGGTTCCTAATAATTTGATCTTTACCCTGAAATCAAACACATGGAAAAGAGATGGAAGAATGTCCTGGAGGGATTAAGTGAAGAAACAGACCAGGATTCATTTATGAAATATCCTCGGTGTTATTTCAATTCAGCTCCATTCACATTTTATTCTTTTGTGTCTCTGCACTAATGCCCTCCATATTCTCCATTCTCCTGCCTTAGCTAGCACCTTCTCGATCTTCCCTCTACAAAACTCCTTCAGTTCACATTGCATTTGTGCTCTATCCTGGGATATGTGTTTTCTTTCCCATTTCCTCAGTTGCTATGTATTAAAAATTAGGACTTTTATTCTTATGTTTCCAAGATTAATTCTTTGCATATTTAACTAGAATATTTAACTCTAACATTGACAGACATTTCAAGAGTATACCTGAAGCAATAAGCGAAATGCATTTTGACAAGTTTCTAGGGATATCATGGACATTAGTGATCGGGGCATGGAAGGAGGTGACTTATTCAATGTTTGAGTCTATTTAACAAATTTCATGGTGGTTACATCAACGTGTTCTTTTCCTGGTGATTTATCAATCTTTCCACTGTTGATGTGTGTGCTTTTCTGTTAGGCTCTACTTTAATACAACTTAAAAAAAAATTTTAATCTCATTTTACACATGGTGTGTATCCACTCCCTTCACACATAAAACTAGTCCCACTGTAAAAGGGAGTGACCAAGGATTTTTCCCCAGTCATCTCACCAAATTCTTACATAAGGTAATTTGTGGTCACCAGATTTGCTTCTTTATTAAAATAATATATAAATTTTAATATTGAGTAATACACATCATATTTAAGTTACTAAATTATCAGTTGTATACCTGAAACATGGCATGCACTAATCCAGGTAATGAGGAAAAAATAGAAGACTGTCCCTAGTTTTGAAAACATTTAACTACATTACCTGATTTTGATTCTGATCTTCACAAATTCTTATAAAGTATTTAGAGAAAGAATTAGCCCCATGGGAGATGAAGAAGCTGATGTTCACAGCAAATTATTGCCCCATTCCAGCAAGAGGCAGATGGGGCTTCAGAACCACGTCTTCTAACCTCTGGTCTGGTGTTTTGTGCCAAGCCATGATACTGATAAACAATTTACAAATGAGAGAAGTGGCTGGGCATGGTGGCTCATGCCTGTAATCTCAGCACTTTGGGAGGCCGAGGCAGTTGGATCACTTGAGGCCAGGAGTTCGAGACCAGCCTGGCCAACATGGCGAAACCCTGTCTCTACTAAAAATACAAAAAATTAACTGGGCGTGGTGGCACATGCCTGTAATCCCAGCTACTTGGTAGGTGAGGCAGGAGAATCGCTTGAACTCAGAGTGGAGGTTACAGTGAGTCAAGATTGTGCCACTGCACTCCAGCCTTGGCAACAGAGCAAGACTGTCTCAAAAACAAAACAAAGGGGAGAAGCACATGGCACAATGTGTATCTGCCAGCTTGTTAACCCTAATAATGACCTGGGGACAAAGGTCCCTTCAGAGCAACATGCTGATAAAAGCCATGTTCATTTGCTGTTGGATGCTAGTTAGGCTGGTCTAGCCAAGGACCTGATGACCCACATTGAGGGGTAATCAGATTCCCTGTGGGGTCTTTCTGCAGGTAAGGGATATGGATATAAAATTAACTTGCTTCTACAGACTTGTTTTATACAATAAACATCTATATGCAATATAAAATTGTAATAGAAGAAAGCATAAAGTCTACTTATTAAATACCTTATTAACTGCTTTATTCAATGCTCAGGAAGATATCAGGCAAAAAGGAATGATCAGAGAAACTGAAGATAATTAGATAATTATTTAGCGTAAAGAAAACAAAATGCAGACCTCTGTATCCACAAAAATTAAAAATCTGAAAAAGTGACAGAACATCCCTGTCAAGTTGGACAACTGACTTTAAATGAAGTGAAGTTCTGCTAAAGAATTCTGACAATTCTGTGAAAACAAAATGACTGAAATGTCAGGTCCTGACTCTACAAAGAAGTTCCATACATAAAGCAATTGTATTCATAGACAACTTTATGGCATCGATAGGTTATTTAGTTAAAACAACAGGCTGATTCACACACAAATGATAAAAACCAGATGCATTTTTAAGCTTCTTTTTCAGCTGTGATTGTACTGAGGATGGATTTCTTAAACCTGGGTGACTCCCGTGACCATGTCACACACTTAGCAGCATTTCACTGTGTGCTTCCTTCTAAATCCCAGGTAATAAAGGCCAGGAAAATACTTGGTTTGTTTTGACTACATTCCTTTGGTTTATACAACTAGCAAAGAATATAAAATGGTAAATACCTGTAGCTTGAACTCTGGTTGTTTCACATTGTATTTTTTATGAGCACTTTAAGCTTATTTGGTTTTATTAAATCATCACATACCTAAAAACAAGAATTGTTAGGCATCGCAAGCACTTAAAATTTTTCCTAATACAGAATTTGCCCTTAATAAATACTAGTGTAATAAATGAATGAAAAACTTTCATTTTAGAAGGCTTAGTACCTTTTAAAAATCTTTAAAAGAAAGTTTCCTTGGCATCTCAGGTTTGAAGAGACGACGTGGAAACTGAAGATTAACAAAGTTAGACTTTTATAGGCTCACATAGAACTGCATGTCAAGGGTGATGCTAGAAGCAAAAAAACACCAAAAAACTAAAATTATTTCCAGCTTCACTGATAAGTGGTTTAACTATTTTAAAATTGGAGCTTATGTAAAAAAGTCATTGGCTTTTGCTAGATTCTTCATATATTCCTTCTTTGAAGCAAACAGGAGGTAAGTCCCATTAAGGGGCATTTCTCAAGGGTAGAAGCAGAAAACACTTTCATGACTGAAAATTTAAATGCAAAGTTTAGGATTACATATGTCAGTTGATGTTATCAAAATTGTTCTTTCCCTGGATTTCCAAAGTGTTTAATTGAAATGACCAGTGATGTTAATGAAGTATTCTATAAACTTGGAAAAATTAAAATCAGAAAACATGTTTGAACATAGTTAAAACCATATCTTTGGGCCTCAGCTTCTGAATAGCTGAAGGTTTAATGAAGAGAACTGCTTTTCTGTCTCCCTGTATAAACTGGGGAAACTACTTCAAAGGGAGAAAGGATAATATAGTCTTGGCCCAAGGCAGGGATGCTTGCAAATAATGGCTTTGTGTAATTTGAAAGATTGTAAAAATCTTTACCTTTTTTGATTATCTTTGAAATGAAATCCCTTAATACATACACAGCATGTATTATAATCTTGTTCTTAGAAATAGAGAATACAGTTGTAAGGAGATGATTATATAGGTTGAAAATATGCCACCTTTTCACTTAAGAATACAATGAACCTGCTATAGGATGAAGAATGAACATAGATCACCTCACATTCCACTGGTCACTTAGAATTCTATTATGTACTAAAACCTAAATTATTTAGTACGTGTCCAGTTAGCAGACGCTTAGGTTACTTCCACTTTCTTATTGCAAATAACACCGGAATGCACTTTTTTAATAAATTGCCCACTCATCTGATTATTTCCATACTACGCTTCCCTAGGAGCGGAAGCTTGTACGTATTTTTTAAACTCCTGGCATTGACTCAGTGCACGCTCTCAAACCAGAAAACAAGACAGAAAACCCATTGTAATTCCCACCAGCAGTTTGAGATTCCCCCCTTTATCCTCGATGTTGATACAACCCAGCTCTCATGTAGAAGTTCAAGTTGAATAAGATTGACTGAAACTCTATTTCTGCACTGTGGCCCTTCTACATTGCTATCCTATTGAGGAAGCTTCGTGGGCTCATGCTCTAGGTAAGAATAAAATTAAGTTCAAGCCCTCTGCCTCTGGCAATCCAAGGCCCAGCTGAGTAGATCTGCATGTCATTGCATTTCATCGCCTTGCAAGAGTAAGAAGAATGTGACCCTAACTGTGCAGTGATAGACACGTATTAAGAGGGAGGGATGAGTTGTTTTCATGACTCCACCTAAGAGAGGCCTGAAAAGACCGCTTGATTGGCAAGAGGCCAAAAACAGCGTTAATTTTCCAAAGATGTTTAGTTCAATAACGAAGTCTAGATAATCTGGCTCAAGTCGTGAATAATCATTTCAGAAATGGTCCCTCAACTGTCCCCAATCCACAGCAGGGAGACTCTCCTGTAACTTAGTTCCCCCAAACTCCCAACTTTAGGGAACTTCTAAGAAAGTGATCTAGTGTGTTACAACAAAAGTAAACATCACCATAAGAATATAAAGTCTGACTACACAGTTGGCCCTTCAAATTATCTTTTAAAAAAATCTGTCCATTAGAGGTCTTCAGTACCTAGGAAAATATAGGATACGAGGACAATTATGTTGAAAAATTATCATAATTTAACTCATTGTTTCATTGCTTTGGCTAGGACTTTCAGTACCATGTTAAATAGAACTGGTGACAATGGACATCCTCACTTTGTACCAGACCATAGGAGAAACATTTTCATTTTTTATTAACTGTGGGCTTTTCTTATATGATGTGTTGAACTAAGTTCCTTCTATACCTGTTTTTCAGAGTTTTTACATGAATTGTCAAATGTTTTTGCTGCAAATTTTTTTATTCTCTTAATGTGTTATATCACACTGATTGATTTGCCTATGTTGAAGCATTCTTGCATCCCAGAGATACATTTCAGTTGGCTATGGTTTATTCTCTTTTTAATGGGCTGTTGAATTTGGTTTGTTAGTATTTTGTTGAAGATTTTTACACCTATGTTTATCAGTGATATTGACCTGCAGTTTTATTTGCTTGTGATTATCTTTGTCTGGCTTTGATATAAGTGTATGATGGCCTCATAAAATGAGTTTGGGGCGTTCTCTCCTGGTTTTTGAAAGAGTTTAAGAAGGATTGCTATTCTTCTTTGAATGTTTAGAATTCATCCACGAAGCCATTTGGTTCTGGTCTTTTCTCTGGGAATCTTTTGTTTACTAATTTGTTCTTATTGGTCTGTTCAGGCTTCCTATTTCCTCTTTAGTTTTGGTAGGTTGTATAAATCAAGAAGTTTGATTTCTTATAGATTATCTAATTTATAAGTGCATAATTTTCATAATAGTCTTTTATGATCCTTTTCATTTTGAGGCATTTGTTCTAATGACTCCTCCTATTTCTCATTTTAGTTTAGGATACTTTTTTTCTTAGTCTAGCTAAGGTTTATCACCTTTTAATTTTTAAATAGTTTTGCTGATTTTTCTAGTTTTTCCAGTCTCCTATTTCTACTTTAATATTTTATTCTCTATGATAACTTTGGACTTAGGCTTTCTGTTTCTAGTTTCTTGAGGTAAAAAGTTGGTTAATTTGAATTTTTTCTTTCATGTGGCTATTCGTTGCAATCAACTTTTCTCTTAGTACTGGATTTGGTGCATGTCATAAGTTTTAGTATATTGTATTTTTTGTTTGTCTTGAGATTTTAATTCTCCTTTGATTTTTCCTTTTGCCCAGTCATTGCTCAATTTAATGGTATGTATGTTAACACACCAATATGTGATAGAGCACATAAACCTCCAAATTACTAAAGTTATAAAAGATTTATACAACATACTTAATGGCAACAAAACTTGTAGATATGAATGCTCACAACAATAAGAAAAGTCCACGTTATTTTCTAGTGCACATGGGATTCTCACCAAAATCAATCACAGGTGGGCCTTTGACAGAATAATATAAACACGACATAAAACGTGTAGGATGCAGCTAAACCAGTGGTTACAGAAAAATTTGTCCCCATAGATCATTAAGAAGAAAGGAAGCCTAAATATTGACTAATCTCCTAATTCAAGAAGATAGAATAAAAAAATTCAAATTATATCTATAAAATGTGAAAAAAGGATGAAGTAGACACCATCTATATATAAATGTGTGTAGAAATCATAGATTAATATTCATGTTTCTGATTTCAGTTCCAGATCAAAATGTCTATAATCATTTTTCCACTTTCATGTTCTTTTTGCATTATTTTAAAAAATATTTTTAATTGAAATATTAAAATACATATTTTATGGGGTACAATGTGATATTTTGATACATGTATATTATTTGTAATGATGGAATTAACCTAAAGAACATATCACCAATTTTCATGGTGAGACATTTAAAATGTACCCACTTAGCAATTTTGATATATACAACACATATATTACATATATAATTATAATTTTGTATTATATATAATATACATTATACACATAAACATGTATATATGATATATACAATTATAATATTTTGATACATACAACACAATATCCAACTTTGATACAAATGAACAAGATTTTCTTCTATTTAAAGGCTGAATTACATTTCACTGTGGATATATGTCTTGTTTTCTATATCTATTCACCCATTGATGGATACTTAGGTTGATTCCATATCTTGGCTATTGTGAATAATGTTGCAATGAACATGGGAGTGCAGATATCTCTTTGACATACCCATTTAAATTGGATACATCCTTATTAATGGAATTCCTGAATCATAAGGGGTTCATACTATTAAGGCCTGCATCAAAAAGTCTGAAAGAGCACAAATAGGCAATCTAAGGTCACACCTCAAGGAACTAGAAAAACAAGAACAAACCAAACCCAAACCCAGCAGAAGAAAAGAAATAGCAAAAATCAGCGCAGAACTAAATGAAATTGAAACAAAAAATACAAAAGCTACATGAAACAATGTTGGTTCTTTGAAAAAAATAAGTAAAATTGATACTGTTAGCAAGATTAATCAGGAGAATAGTCAAATAAGCTCAACTAGAAATGAAACAGGTGATATGACAACCAATATCACAGAAATACAAAAGCTTATTGGTGGCTACTATGAACACCTTTATGCGTGTAAAATAGAAAACCTACAGATGATTTAATTTCTGTAAATATACAATGCTCCTAGATTAAACCAGGAAGAAATAGAAACTTTGAAGAGACCAGTAACAAGCAGCAAGATTGGAATGGTAATTAAAAAATGCCAACAAAAAAAGTCTGGGGCCAGATGGATTCACAGCTGAATTAATTGGCATCAATCCTACTGACACTATTCCACAAGATAGAGAGGGAAACCTTCCTAGATCATTCTATGAAGTCAGTATTGCCCTAATACCAAACCCAGGAAAGGACATAACAAAACCATAGACCAATATCCCTGATGAACATACATGCAAAAATTCTCAACAAAATACTATCTAACAGAATCCAACAGCATATCAAAAAGATAAATCATCATGATCAAGTGGGTTTCATAACAGGGATTCAGGGATGGTTTAACATATACAAGTCAATACATGTGATACATCACATAACCATGTGACTTGTGTTTTTAATTGTGTTTATCTCAATAGTTGCAGAAAAAGCATTTGACAAAATCCATCCCTTTATGATTAAAACCCTCAGCACAATCAGCATACAAGGGACATGCTGTAAGGTAATAAAAGTCACCTATGACAAACCCACAGCAAACATTATTCTGAATGGGGAAAAGTTGAAGGCATTCCCTGTGAGAACTGGAACAAGACAAGGATGCCCATTTTTGCCACTTATATTCAATATAGTTCTGGAAGTCCTAGCCAGAGCAATCAGACAAGAGAAAGAAGTAAAGGGCATCCAAATCAGTAAAGAGGAAGTTATGCTATCGGTTTGCTGATAATATGATCGTATACCAAGAAAACCCTAAAGACTCATCCAAAAAGCTCCTGGAACTGGTAAATGAAGTCAGCAAAGTTTCAGAATACAAAATTAATGTACACGACTCAGTAGCTCTGTTAATACAGCAATAGCTACCAAGCTGAGATTCAAATCAAGAGCTCAACCCAATTTACAATAGCTGCAAAATAAAATACTTAGGAATACCTAACCAAGGAGGTAAAAGACCTCTATGAGGAAAACTACAAATCACTGCTGAAAGAGATCGTAGATGACACAAATAAATTGAAACACATCCCATGCTCGTGGGTAGGTAGAATCAATAATTGAAAATGACCATATTGCCAAAGCAATGGACAAATTCAATGCACTTCCCATCAATACACCACCATCATTCTTCACAGAACAACAATCCTAAAATTCATATGGAACCAAAAAGCCCACATAGCCAAAGCAAGACTAGGAAAAAAAGAACGAAACCAGAGGCATCACATTACTCGACTTCAAACTATACTATAAGGCCATAGTCACCAAAATAGCTTGGTACTGGCATAAAAATCAGTATATAGACCAATGGAACAGTATAGAGAACCCAGAAATAAAACCAAATACTATAGCCAACTGATCTTCAACAAAGCAAACAAAAACATAAAAGTGGGGGAAAGGACACCCTATTCAACAAATGGTGCTGAGAAAATTGGCAAGCCACATGTAAAGAATGAAACTGGAACCTCATCTGTAACCTTATAGAAAAAACAACTCAAGATAGATCAGACTTAAACCTAAGACCTGAAATTATTAAAATTCTAGAAGATAACATCAGAAAATGTTATCTTGTAGACATTGGCTTAGGCAAAGACTTCATGACCAAGAACCCAAAAGCAAATGCAATAAAAACAAAAATAAATGAGACTTAATTAAACTAAAAGGCTTGTGCACAGCAAAAGACATAATCATCAGAGTAAACAGACAACCCATGGAGTGGGAGAAAATCTTCAGTCTCTACATCCAACAAAGGACTAATATCTAGAATCTACAAGAAACTCAAATCAGCAAGAACAAAACAAAGCCATTAAAAAGTGGGCTAAGGACACAAATAGACAATTCTCAAGAGAAAATATACAAATGGCCAACAAACATGAAAAAAATGCTCAACATCACTAATTATCAGGGAAATGAAATTCAAAACCACAATGCAATACCATCTCACTCCTGCAAGAATGGCCATAATCAAAAAATCTTTAAAAAATAGACATTGGTATGGATGTGCTGAAAAGAGAACACTTTTATACTGCTGGTGCAAATGTAAACTTGTACAACCACTATGGAAAAGTCTGGAGATTCCTTAAAGATCTAAAAGTATATCTACCATTTGATCCAGCAATCCCACTACTGGGTATCTACCCAAAGGAAAATAAATCATTACACGAAAAAGATACTTGCACACATGTTCACAGCACCACACTTCACAATTGCAAAAATATGGAAGCAGCCCAAATGATCATCAATCAATGAGTAGATAAAATCATATATATTCATATATTCACACATATACTCATATATTCATATATATTCATATATTCACACATATACTCATATATTCATATATACTCATATATTCATATATACTCATATTCATATATACTCATATATTCATATATACTCATATATCTTCATATGTATATAGATGAATGCTACTTAACCATGAAAAGGAATGAAATAATGGCATTTGCAGCAAACTGGATGGAATTAGAGACCGTTATTCTAAGTGAAGCAACTCAGGAATGAAAAACCAAACATTGTATGTTCTCACTCACACGTGGGAGGTAAGCTATGAGGATGCAAAGGGATAATAATGATACAATAGACTTTGGGGACTTGGGGGAAAGGGTGGAAGCAGGTGAGGGATAAAAGACTACACATCAGGTACAGTGTACACTACTTGGGTGATGAGTGCACCAAATTCTCAAATTGCCATGAAAGAACTTATTAATGTAACCAAACACCACCGGTTCCCCAAAAACCTATTGATATAAAAAATATAAATAAATATCATATATATATCATCCAGGGGCAGTAGCTTATGCCTATAATCCCAACACTTTGGAAGGCTGAGGTGGAAGGATTGCTTTAGCCTGGGTATTTGAGACCAGCCTGGGTAACATAGTGAGACCTCATCTCTCCAAAAATTAAATTTTAAAAAATCAGGGAGGCATAGTGGCACGTGTCTATAGTCCTAGCTACTCAGGAGGCTGAGGTGAGAGGATCGCTTGAGCCCGGGAGATTGAAGCTGCAGTGAGCCACAATTGCGAAACTGCACTCCAGCCTGGGTTGACAAAGCAAGACCCTGACTCAAAAACAGGGCGGTATATATTTTACAGATACATCAAAGTCTTATCTGTGCTCTCTTGAATTCCCTCTCTTAGTGTCCTCAGACCAATTTTTTTAAACAGGTGTGTATCTTCCCTATCAATTTTTAATATTTTTATTGCAGATATGTGTCCAAATGTAATATTTTAGTAGGATGTATTTGTTAAATGGTAACACACTGATCATTCTGCAACATATTTTCCTTCAACTTTACTAATTGAAATGTTCACAATAAATTGGTATTAATATTGATCATGTGTGCATTTTCTTTATATTAATATTTAGGTTTACCACTTTTTCATGCTTTATAATGTAAGAGTATCTATCCTTGTATAATCTCCTTGGAAGTCTTAGGTAGTGAAGAAAGAACATCTTCAATGTTATGAGATATTACTGAATTCATCTCTAAAGGAGTTGCACTAATCTCTCTAACCATCATTTTTCCTTCTTCATTTATTTAACAAATAATCAATTTTTACTATTATGTTGGTGCAAAAGTGATATATGCCAGGCATAGTGCTAATGTTAGAAAACAACAGAGAAGAAAATAAATATATTTTGGTCTCCTTGTGCAATAACAAAAACCCAAACAGTGAATAGGTAAAACATACGATGTGGTCATGCCAGATGATGATATGTTATGAACATAAAATAGGGAACACTGTTGCAAATTTTAAATATAATTATGGATCAGTCAGAATGCACAAGGTAATGCCATAGTAACATCTCAAGCTGCATAAAAACATTGTTTATGTGATGTTCACATTGTAAATCTGTCAGATGGTACTCGGGGTCCACTCATCAAAAGTCCCTCAAGGACCTAAGATGATGGATAACTTTGTTGACCATTTTGTCATTTTATGTTCTAGAATATGTTTATATTTGTGGCTATACATGAAGCTTGTACAACTATTGAAGTATATCCATAAAAAAAATAAGTGTACAGCTCATTAAGGATTTCATAGCAGTACCTAAAATGTATCTAGAATTTTGCAATTTTACATATTAATAACCCTCCACCTGCCATTTTTAAATGCTTATTTAGATTTCTAACTTTCATACCTATACAGCATTTGGATAGCCCATTAATTTTTAATTATACATATTCATGTGGAATTTTCATTGAAACTTAGGAATAATTAAAATACAAGAGTGAGTTGAAGCTTGTGTGAAGAGTACAAAAGAAGGATTGTGATGTCTGAGGTGTGAGAGTTCTCACTGATTGAGTAGAGCACGCCTTCATAAAGAAATTGTCATATTATCTGAGCATTTATGACTGGTAGTTTATATAGAAATGCATTTGGTAAATTCACAGCAAAGAAGCAGGATACGAGAAGTTATGAAGGAATATGAAAGTGT
The DNA here is from genome assembly GCF_000001405.40 of Homo sapiens. Classification (NCBI taxonomy): domain Eukaryota; kingdom Metazoa; phylum Chordata; class Mammalia; order Primates; family Hominidae; genus Homo; species Homo sapiens. Next base: position 120,829 of record NT_187518.1, read on the forward strand.
GTGGTTTAAAGATACTCTGAGATATTGGAAGAAGCAATGTTGGAAGACAGGGTGGGTACCAGCCAAGGACAGAATATGCTCATTCTGTCTCCTGGTGTCAGTATCTGCTTCTGCAGTTGGGCTTATGAGTTGGATTCTGCATCTGAGGATTCAACCAATCATGGACTTAACCAATCATGGATTGAAAATATAATTAGGCTTATCATGGTCACATTGGTACAGACTTTTCTAAATTTTATTTTTGTTGTGACATAGGTGTATACATTTATGGGGTACATGAGATGTTTTGATACAGGAATGCAATGCATAATAAATGCATGATGAAAAATGGAGTATCCTCTCAAGCATTTATCTTTTGTGTTATAATTTTATTATACCCTTTTAGTTATTTTTAAGTGTACAATTAAATTGTTATTGACGATGTCAGTCTATTATGCTAGTACTTATTCATTCTAACAAATTTGTTGTATCCATTAACCATCCCCACCTACCCCTTCACCACCCCCAGTACCCTTCCCAGTATCTGCTAAGCATATTTCTAATTTATATCTCCATGAGTCCAGTTGTTTCGATTTTAAGGTGCCAGAAATAACTGAGAACATGCAATGTTTGTCTTTCTGTGCCTGGCTTATTTGACTTAGCATAATGGCCTCCAGTTCCATCTATGTTGTTGCAAATGACAGGATCTCATTATGTTTTGTGGCTATATAGTACCTATCATGTATAAGTACCACATTTTCTTTACCCATTCATCTGTTGATGGACACATAGGTTGCTTCCAAATTTTAGCTATTGTGAACAGAGCTGCAACAAACATGGAAGTGTAGATGTCTTTTCAGTATATTGATTTCTTTTCTTTTGGGTATATACCCAGCAGCGGGATTGCTGGATGATACGTTAGCTCTATTCTTAGTTTTTTCGAGGAACCTCCAAACTGTTCTCTGTTGCACCTTTAAATACAACTTTAAATGCAACTTCACATTCCCACAGAGTTTATGAGGGTTCCCTTTTCTCCATGTCCTCACCAGCATTTATTTTTGCATGTCTTTTGTATAAGAGCCATTTTAATTGGGATGAGATGGTATCTCATTGTAGCTTTGATCAGCATTTCTCTGATCAATGTTGAGCACTTTTTATGTGCCTGTTTTTGATTTGTATGTTGTCTTTTGAGAAATGTCTATTCAATCTTTTATCAATATATAAATCAGATTATTAGATTTTTTCCTATAGATTTATTTGAGCTCCCTATGTATTGTGGTTATTAATTCCTTGTCAGGTGTGTAGTTTGAAAACATTTTCTTCCATTTTGTGGGATGTCTCTTCGTTGATTTATTTCCTTCACTGTGCAGAAGCTTTTTAACATAATGTGCTCTCCTTTGTCCATGTTTGCTTTGGTTGCCTGTGTTATGGAGTATTACTCAAGAAATATTTGCCCAGACAAATATCCTGGAGATTTTCTCCAACGTTTTCTTCTGGTAGTTTCATAGTTTGAGTTCTTAAAGTCTTTAGTCCATTTTGACTATATCTTTGTATATGGCGAGAGACGGGACTAGTTTCATTTTTCTTCATATAGATATCCACTTTTCCCAGTACAGCTTATTGAAGAGACGATCTTTTCCCTGGTGTATGTTCCTTGCACCTTTGTAGAAAATGAGTTCACTGTAGGTATGTGGATTTGTTTCTGAGTATTCGGTTTTATTGGTCTATGTATCTGTGTTTATGCCAGAACCATGCTGTTTTGGTTATGGTAGCTCTGTTGTAGTATAATTTGAAGTCAGGCAATGGGATTCCTCCAGTTTTGGTGGGTTGGTTGGTTGGTGGTTTTGCTTAGAATAATTTTGGCTCTTCTGGGTGTTTTGTGCTTTCATACAAATGTTAGGATAGTGTCTTCTATATCTGTAAGAAATGTCATTGGTATTTTGATAAGGATAACATTGAATCTACAGATTGCTTTGAGTACTATGGATATTTTAACAATATTGATTCTTTTGGTTCATGAATCTGGAATATGTTTTCATTTTTAGTGTCCTCTTCAATTATTAATGCTTTATAGTTTATCATTAGAGAACTATTTCACTTCTTTGGTTAATTCCTATTTAATTTTATTTGTGGCTATCATAAATGAGATTACTTTTTAAATTTGTTTTAATCTATTTGCTATTGACATATAGAAATCTGCCTTGTATCCTGCAACTTTCCTGAATTTATTAGTTCTAATAGGTTTTTGGGGAGACTTTAGGTTTTTCCAAGTATAAGGTCCTATCATCTGTGAACGAAGATAATTTTACTTTTCTTTGAAATTTGATGCTATATCTATATCTCTATATCTATATCTATCTATATATATAGATATATTTACATATAGATAGATTTATTTATATTTGTTTCTCTTGTCTGATTGCTCTAGCTAGAACTTCCAGTAATATGTTGAATAACAATGGTAACAATAGTTGCACTAAAGTGCAAGACTAAGTCTCTCTTAATTTTCTTTAATTTTCTGTCCACTTTCCTCAAGCAGAAGGAGTCTTGCCCCATAGCCACCATAGCTGGTAATATGCTGAGTCTCACCCGGAGCCAGCATGCCTCAGAGTTTCACCCAAGGCCCTCATGACTCTAGCTGGTATCCAACCCTGATGTGGCTGAGCTGGTATCCAAGATGCAAGACAAAGTCCTCCTCACTCTTCCCTCTCCTCTCCTAAAGCAGAGGAAAGAGGCCTCTTTTGGAGCCACAAGCCGTGGAGGCTGAGGTTAGGGGATGAGTTTAGCTGCCCTGGCTGGTGTTTTAACAGGTCATGTGTCCCCCGAGTCCACTGGCTCTGGGCCCAGATTAGCATTAGGATTTGCAGCTCTTGTGGCCTAGACTGCCCTTCAGGTTTGTCTGTGGCTCCAGAGCCACTTTAGCCCTTCATGGTGAGGCTTGGGTAACTCAAGTTCCAAACACTGGGATTCGCAATTCCCTTCCAGCAATGGCTGGTTTAAATGCGCCCTTCATGGTGGGTGTCAGCTGAATTTGGTCTGGGTCTTCTTTCTGCTATAAGAAGGGCATCGCTGAGCTCAGTGTCTTAGAATTGCTGGCTCTCCCTCTCCTTAGTGCACAGAGAAGCTCTCCATACCACACCACCGCTGCTGGGGGATGAAGGGGTGGTAGTGTCAGTGATGCAATACTGTTTTTCCAACTTCTTCAATGCCTCATTCAGAAATATGAATTTAACTCCATGTACTGTGAGTGCTCACCTGAGTTTTGGTTCTTGAGAAGGTGTTTTTTGTGTAGATAGTTTTTAAATTGGTGTTCTTGCAGGGGGATGATCAGTGGAACCTTCTATTCTGCCATCTTGCTCCATCCTCCAGACTTTTTTCCTTGTCATTATTTCCTAAAAAATATAGTATAACAGCTATTTACATAGCATTCATATTGCATTAGTTGTTATAAGTAATCTAGACATGATTTCAAGCATACGGGAAGATTTGTGTAGGTTATATAGAAATACTCTGCCATTTCATATTAGGGTCTTTAGCATCATGGATTTTGGTATTTTCACGATGTCCTGGTACTGAGGACAGATAGTGAGGGATGACTGTACACAGGGATGAATACACTACTCAGTACTTGTACGTTTGTCATGCTAGAAAGACTCAGCAAAGTCTCGGAACCTTGCAGGCACTGAGAAAAGTGGCTCCCTTTTCCCATTCTCTTTCATTCCCAAATTATATAATCTAAATTCGATGAGACTAATATTTCAAGGGAAGTCTCTGAGCCTTTAAGGAGAGGGGCGATGTGGGAGAAGGTCACCCTGTCATGGAGAAATCTTAGACCACATTCGGTCATCAGATTCATAGATGTCTTAAGAGTCACAGAAGCATAGCAAGTACATAACACTCCTTTTGATTCTGAGAAAGTGACACTCAGAGCTTTTAGTGTCTTGACTAAGATTACACAATTAATTGGAAGCAAATATAATAAATGGTAAATGTTTTAGAACCTAAAAGGTTGTCAGACTCCGATATTTTCTCCTGAATCTGGGAAAGCCCCAGCTGTGTTAATGGAGAGTGTCTACAGATGCAACTTTTCCCCACGAAAGATGGCTTTGTAGGGCCATTTCAAAATATGTCAAATACATACTTTGGGGTGGAATATTTTGATTTTCCTCAGGGTCTGCTATCTGTCATGTGATGCTATACCAGAGTCAGGTTGGAATTTGGTATCTTATTGCCACTCAGTCTGTTTTGTCAGTCTTAGGAACTCTATTTCAATGTTATTGCTGGTCAGTTGTGCCTAAATTCCAAAAGATGGGTGTAATGAAGTGTGTCTCCCTTCTTATGTCCTGCAATTAAGCTTTTCAGCTTTCCTGAGATTCTCGTGGCCTAGAGGGGGTCTGTTCAGTTGATTAGGGGTCTTAGGATTTTAAATTTAGTTTACAGACTTCTGACACTGGTTTTGCATGATCCTCCCTTTGTGAAATTCAGATTTGCTTTTACAAAGAGAGCTTATTTTAAATGTCTGATATGAAAATATAATTTTAAACTAGAAAAATGAAGTTGTTTAAAAAATGTGCAACGTCATGAGAAAGATGGATTTGCTTTTGGATAGATGCATCGCATAAATGAAAAACATGTTTAATTCCCACGTGGACCGTGAGTGGAAAGTTAGAATATAACCATCAAAAACAAATAGCAAAAGAAAACAAAAATACCAAAATAGTGGATTCTGAGAGGGTCTTAAAGAAAATAGAAGCTCCAGGAAAGAGACAATGCCAAGTACAGGAAAGATGAATAAGAAGGAAAAAAAAAAAAAAAAAGGAAAACAAGGCAAAGAATTAAGCAATAAACACTCATCTCAATTCCCTAATGTGAAGAAACTGACGATGTAATTTTCTCATTTTCATTCTGAATTTAAACCCCTTTGCTTTGGCCTTAGAATGGTGAAAGCAGCTTCACTGAGCTGGCGTGGCTTAGATTTATTGTCTGATGGAACAGAAAAGATGGAGCAAAAGGTTTGTGCTCTATGTGCCGTGTTCGTCTCTTTGTTGAAAGGTGTCTTGATGACCTGTCTCTTCAGTGCTTTATAAAGGGGATAAGTAAGGAACAAAGATACCTGACTCTTGTTGCTAGCTCTTCATAATTCTGACTTTAGGTTTCCTGAAGTCCCAGGGTTTTTTTTTGTTTTGTCTCTTGTTTTGTGTGTGTGCTTTGTTTTTGTTTTGTTTTTTTGTTTTTTTGCCCTAGGAACAGTGCGTTGTATTTCACTTTGCATTTCCACATGCCTCAGTCACTATTAGTTTTTTCCTCAGCATTATTTCTCTAACCTGCAGTACAGCAACCCTGAGGATGACCAAACCTCAGTCATGGAGCTCCTGACTCTTCATTAGTCTAGAAGTTAGTGGGCTTTTTAACTTTGAGACAATTGTATCAAGCATGATTAAAACAATGCAACTGGAAAATTAAAACTGAAATATTCAGACAAAGCAGTCACTGAGCAAAGCTATGAATTTATGGGAGGGGATGGTGATTAGTTTGTTATGCAAAGGAGATGCAGGACAAGAGGATCCCTAGGCTTGGTTGCAGGGCTGCGGTTTTATGAAAGATTCAACACAACTGCCTCATGTGCTTTAACTTCATTTTTCAATCACTATGAACGGAATTTTGGACATTTTAGGCATGATTTTTGGGGGATAAATGGTATCAGCAAAATGAAAATAAATATTTTGTTTATATTTCAACTAAATACTTGATATTTAGGGCATCTGCAGCATTTATTGCTGTGATTTCTTGTAAAAATATTTCTCTGCCTGACAGTTAATAAATTAAATGCCTTAGATTTCACTGGGGACTGGGAGAGGGCTCACTGTGCCTACTGCTGCTCTCCTGCTCGGCACTAGTTCTGCACCCCAAGCTACTCTCCTCAGGCAGGCGGGACTCTCCCTCTGCTCCTCTGCCCCAGTCAGCACTACTTATGGAATGCAACCTTGTGAGGAATAGCAGAATAAATTGAAAAGTTTTCGTGAGGAAAGTGGACTTAAATGGAGATATATAATGGTAGAAGAAATTTAAGGAGATTTCCAGTTTTCAGATTATTTCATGGTATTAGTTATGATATTTGTACCATTAACAATATTAATATTAACCTTATCAGCCGTGATTTCCATCACTGAGTCCTGGATGAGCTACTGTATCCAAAAAGTAGTGAAAATTTCAACCCAACACTAACACTGTGTTACAGACCTAACGTGCATTCCCTACTTCAGTCTCTAACCATCCCACAAGGCCAGTATACTTGTGTTCTTAATTCTGGGGGGAAATAAGACATAGAGTGTACCTGTCTTCACTCTTGACTTAGCTCATGAATAGTCACCTCCCCAGATCTGTTTCGTAGTTCACTTTAGCTTGTGGCCAAGATACAACTTGACCTAAGATTTGAACTTATGATTTTATGTCAGTTTAAATCAATATTTAGAAAAATAATTCAAAGCACATGTCTTACCAGAAAAAGGTCAGGAAAGCCATGTACATAGGAAAGATTTAAAATTAATGACTTTTTTTTCCTCAGGGGGAAACTGAGCCAGTCATGTGCTCAGGGAATCAGACTTCTCAGAATCAAACAGCAAGCACTGATTTCACCCTCACGGGACTCTTTGCTGAGAGCAAGCATGCTGCCCTCCTCTACACCGTGACCTTCCTTCTTTTCTTGATGGCCCTCACTGGGAATGCCCTCCTCATCCTCCTCATCCACTCAGAGCCCCGCCTCCACACCCCCATGTACTTCTTCATCAGCCAGCTCGCGCTCATGGATCTCATGTACCTATGCGTGACTGTGCCCAAGATGCTTGTGGGCCAGGTCACTGGAGATGATACCATTTCCCCGTCAGGCTGTGGGATCCAGATGTTCTTCTACCTGACCCTGGCTGGAGCTGAGGTTTTCCTCCTGGCTGCCATGGCCTATGACCGATATGCTGCTGTTTGCAGACCTCTCCATTACCCACTGCTGATGAACCAGAGGGTGTGCCAGCTCCTGGTGTCAGCCTGCTGGGTTTTGGGAATGGTTGATGGTTTGTTGCTCACCCCCATTACCATGAGCTTCCCCTTTTGCCAGTCTAGGAAAATCCTGAGTTTTTTCTGTGAGACTCCTGCCCTGCTGAAGCTCTCCTGCTCTGACGTCTCCCTCTATAAGACGCTCATGTACCTGTGCTGCATCCTCATGCTTCTCGCCCCCATCATGGTCATCTCCAGCTCATACACCCTCATCCTGCATCTCATCCACAGGATGAATTCTGCCGCCGGCCACAGGAAGGCCTTGGCCACCTGCTCCTCCCACATGATCATAGTGCTGCTGCTCTTCGGTGCTTCCTTCTACACCTACATGCTCCCGAGTTCCTACCACACAGCTGAGCAGGACATGATGGTGTCTGCCTTTTACACCATCTTCACTCCTGTGCTGAACCCCCTCATTTACAGTCTCCGCAACAAAGATGTCACCAGGGCTCTGAGGAGCATGATGCAGTCAAGAATGAACCAAGAAAAGTAGTAAAGGGCAAGCATTGTCCCCTCCTCTTTCTATAATTCCGTTACTCCCTATCTCTCCTCTCTTTTGCCCTCAGGTCTCCGGGTCCCCAGCACAAAGCCCACTCATATTTTCCTTCTTTCTTATACGTGGCGTTTTCCCTCCATACTGCTTATTGCTCCCATTTATCTCATTAGATTTAATATCTTTAGAGTGTTTTTAACTGCACTGCAGTAGCTGACCTATGAAAGACCTTATAGAGTGCCTTTTATCTTATCTCCCATCCCAGGTTCATTGAGCATTTTAGTATGAGACTTGGTCTTAAACACTTTACCCCTCGAAGAGACTCATTGTAAAGACTTAGAATCCTAGCAGAGCCCTAGAGGAGGAGTATTGGCTGCTCCCTCCCTTTGCAATACATTGTAAACCTCGGTTCACATTGGCAGCCACTGGGGTCAGTGTTTCTGCTATTGTATCTCAGTAAGTACAAAGAAACGCATTTTCTCCAAAGGCTGAAGTGAACTTTGTAGTGTAAACACCAGTAGTTTTAGCATTGGCCATTGGAACCACCTAAACCAAAAATGAATCCATTTCAAAATTCAAAGAATAGGTTCATCTATTTCATAGTATGTAAATAAAAGTAGTTCCAGATTTAGTTTCTTTAGGATTTAGTCTATTCCAGACAATGGTCTACTATGTTTACAATAAATATCATAACAGTCGCGTGCGATAATGGAGACTTAGGAAAGCTTAACCCCCTCAGCATGTTTCTTCTGAAACTGGGAAAACCAGCAAAATGGTTATAAACTTGTCACTAACCTTTAGTTTGCCAGATGTATATCATGCTACAAAGGTAACTTCTGTAAATCTATGAGCATCAGATCACTATCATTTTCATTAACAAAATAATTCATGGGTCTAGTATTTCTGGAACGTGAGAAATTAGGAAAGAAATACATTTGTTCTAATATGCAAGAAGCTGAATCTCGAGCTGTATCGTGAAGCTGTTAATTTACTTCCCCTTGGCACAGCCCTGACCTTGCCTGATTTACCGACAATGAATGGAAGCCAGGTGTTCCCATGCCTATCGCATCTTCGAGAGAAATGACAAGTACTTGCTTTACATGACACATCGACCGAACACTTTTGCTTCTCACTGAAAATTATTCCTGCAGTGCATGAAAGGAGTTTGTCTGAGTTTGTGTACAGAGATCTGAATTTGGAAGTAAATTCCACCAAGTGGTGCAGAAATATCACTTGTAAGAGGGGGTTGTTAGAGGTAGGTAAAATTTGGTTTCAGAAATTGCTGTAATTAAATAAATGGGCAAAACTGCTCAAATGGACACCACAGATGACTAATTTAACAATGTTCTTATGTTGTCATTATATTATTTATATAATTATTTACCTCAGGAAGGTGTACAGAGTGGGATTGCTGAATTATAGAGTAGCTCTATTTTTAATCTTTATAGAACTGTCATACAGCTTTCAACACAGGCTGTTGCAACTTACGTTTCTACCAGCAATGCACATGTACAAGTGTTCCATTTCCTACACACACTTGACAGCACTTGCTATGTATTGCCTGGTAATAGCCATCCTAGCAGGTGTGAGCTGATATCTCATTGTGGTTTTGATTTGTGTGGCCCTGATGATTAGTGATGTTGAACATCTTTTCATTCACCTGTTGGCTATTTGTATTGCCTCTTTGGAAAAATGCCTATTCACACTGTCTTTACCATTTTTAAGTTGGGTAATTTGATATTTGCTAATGATTTTGTCAGTTTCTTTTATATTTTGGATGCTAACTCCTTATCCAAAATATGGTTTGCAGATATGTTCTCCCATTGCAGAGATTACCTTTTCATTTTATTGTTTCCTTTTCTGTGCAAAAGTTTTTGCATGTTGATGCAGTCCTACTTGCTTATTTTGCTTTTGTTGCCTTAATTTTTGTGTCATATCAAAAATATCACGGCCAAGATCAATGTCAAAGAGCTGTTTCCCTATGTCATCATCTAGGACTTTTACAAGTCCAGGTCTTCCATTTAAGTCTTCGATCCATTTAGATTTGGTTTTGGGGGAATAGTGTAGGATAAGAGTCCAATTTCGTTCCTCTGCATGTATGTATCTGGTTTTCCCAATGCCATTTATTGAACAGACTATCCTTTCTTCATGCTGCATTTTTGGCACCCTCATCAAAGACTAATTGACCATATAAGCATGGCTTTATTTCTATAATTTGTAATATAGTTTGAAATCGGAGTCTGAAGCCTCCAGCTTTGTTCTTTTTATCAATATTGCTTTGGCTATTTGATATTTTTGTGCATTCACAAAATTTCTAGAATGGTTTTATTCTATTTATGTAAAAAATGCCTGTGGATTTTAGTTGGGGTTATACTGAATCAGACATTTTCTGGAGTAATATGGACATTTAAAGAATATTAGTTATTCTAACCCATTAACATGAGATATCTTCCCACTTATTTATCTCCTCTTTAGTGAACAGATCTTTCACTCCCTCAGCTGTATTTATTCCTATGTATTTTATTCTATTGGATGGTATTGGGAATGGTATTCTTTTCTTAATTACATATTTGGATGGTTCCTTTTTGGTGTATAGAAATACAACTCATTTATATATGTTTATTTTGTATCCTGCAAGTTTCTTGAATTCTTTAACTCTGATGGGATTTTGCTGGAGTCTTGAGTTTTTTATATGTAAAATCATGTCATCTGCAAACAGATGGCAAGATAATTTAACGTCCTCTGATTTGAAAGCCTTTTCTTTCTTTTTATTGCCTAATTGCTCTGGCTAGTTTCTGGTATTATGTTGAATAGAAGCAGTGAGAGTGAGCACTCTTGTCTTGTTCCTGATCTTAGCGGAAAATCTTTCTCTCCATCGAGTATGATTTAGCTGTGAGATTTATTATGTAAAGGCACATTCCTTCTATAACAAATCTGCTGAGTTCTCATCATGAAAAGATGTCGAATTTTATCCAATGCTCTTTCTATGTCTATTGAGATGCACAATTGTTTTTGTCATTTATTCTGTTAATGTGGCATATCATATTTATTGATTGGTGTATGTTGAACCATCTTTGCATCTGTGGGAAAAAAACTTGGGACCCCAATTTACTATGCCAAAAGGAAAAAAGATACTAAGCTGAAAGCTGAGTTATGCAAGAAACTGCATTTCCTTTGGTTTTTGTTTTCTTTTTGTTCCTAATCAGTTAACTACAGATGAAAGGTTAGAGTAACAGGCAGTAACTCCACATTCTCCTTACCTGACGTAAAGCGATGATCCTTCTACTGAGTGTGAAAGGAATACATAAATGACTATTCACCTACCTGCTTCTTTGCTTCTTTTCTTCTTGCAACCTGTGGATTATCATACTCTCCCTCTTTCCCCTCTAGCCTGCTTTCCCCTTTAAATATTAAAGTCCTCAAAATTATCTTTAAAGAAAAGCACAGACCACAGACTGTTTCTGTAATTGTGTTCTTTTTTCCAAGCATGTCCTTTACCTTGGTGAAATAAACTTTCAATCTGATTGAGACCTGTCTCACATACTTTTGGTTTATACATCCTAGGAATAATCCCACTTGATTATGGTGAAGTATCCTTTTAATGCACTGCTTAATTTGGCTTGTTAGTATTTTGTTAGTTTTTACCAAAAATTATGAAAGCTGTTTTTCAGGAATATTGACCTATAATATTTTGGGAGTTAGTGTTCTTATCTGGCTTTGGTTTAAAGGTAATGTTGGCTTCAGTAAATGAATTTGGAAGTGTTTTTGCCCTTCAATGTTTTGAAAAAATCAGAGGAGGATATGTGTTAGTTCTTTAAGTGCTTGGATGAATTCACCATGAAGTCTTCTAGTCCTAGGCTTTTCTTGGGAGATTTTTTTTTTTTTTTTTTTTTTTTTTTTAGACGAAGTCTTACTCTGTTGCCCAGGCTGGAGTGCAGTGGCATGACCTCGGCTCACTGCAACCTCCGCCTCCTGGGTTCAAGTAATCATTTCATGTGCTGAGTACTCTTATACCTACTTTCTTAGCAATTTTCAAGTATATAATTGTTGAAACTGTAGTCAGCATGATGTACCATAAACCTCCTGAACTTATTTCTCCTGCTTAAATAAAATTTTGTATCCTTTGACCCACATCTTCTCTTTTCCTTCCTCACTCCAAACTCTGGTAACCACCATTTTACTCTTTGTTTCTATGTGTTTGACTATTGGACACTTCACATATAAATGAAATTGTGCAATATTTGTCCTATACCAGGCTTATTTTATTTAAAATATTGTCCTCTGGGCTCATCCATATTTTTCCAAATTATAGAATTGTCTTTGACTTTTGACAAACTGATCATAATATGTCTCAGGTATAATGTTTTGGTTTGTTCTTGCTTGGGTTCCTTTGAACTTTATGAATCTGCATGTCTCTATCACTCACAAATTTAGGAAATGTTGTCATTTTAGCTTTGTTTTTTTCTCCTTCTGTGAATGTCATAATACACATATATATTTGCTTGATGTTGTCTTATAGTTCCCAGATGCTTCTACATTTTATTTTTTTTGTTCCTCTAACTGTATGATCTAAATTCAAGTTCATTGCCTCCTTTCACTGTATGATGAAATATGTTGTCAAAGTACTCTGTTGACCTTTTCACTTCCATAATTGTATTCAGAATATTTTACAAGCTTTACACTAAAGTTAACGAGATTTACACACCTCCATTACAGTACTAGAGTGTTCCAAATTTGACTACAAATCTTCTCAGCACAAGAATTCTTTCCTTTTTTGATGTCAATGTCTTTATTATATTTCTCATTTTGTTTATGCATTTTTTTATTAGTTTTAGATCTCTGTTATTTTGAAGCTCTTTGATCCTATTTAATATGATTTTAAAATTCTTAGGCAATTCATAGATTTCCATTTCCTTGGGGTTGCTTAATGAAGCTTTATTACTTTGGTGGTATTTATTACTTTGGTGTCACATTTGCCTGATTTTTTTGTGACTCAAGTAGCTATGCATTGATGTGTGCACATTTGAAGTTGCAAACAGCTCTTCTGGTCTGCATAGACTGGTTTCAGTAGGTAAAGACATTCTCCTGTCATTTCTCTAGGCTAATAAGAATTACCTCCAGGACTGCAGTTGAGCAGGGTTAGAGCCATGTCATGTGGCTACTCCTGAGTCTACAGCAGAATTTTTAGTTGGCAAGCTTGTTACCAGAAGTCGAGTTGAGTATAAATCCTGTCTGGTCTCTTGGTAGAGAAGACTGCCTCTAGTACCTTGGTCAATAGGGCTATCGCTAGGACACTCTGCTTCAGGGTTCACATTTGGTTCTGTAGATGGCATGCCTGTTACCACGTACAGAAATGGGTGTGGATTCTATTGAGTCCCTTGAAGGACTCCCATTATATTGGTGGGAAAGTCTCTGGGCAAGAAGGATTGTCCCCAGACCACAGTTGAGAGGACCTGGAACTGAGTCTCAGGGCTGTGTCATGGACCACAGCTGAGTCTGAGGTCTTCTGTCCTGCATGGATGGGTGTACCTCCTGCATAGTCCCTGTAAATATAAGATATAAGATATCCCCAAGCTGTGGTTGAATGGAAGCTGGAGCTGGATAAGAGGGCTGATTCAGGATCTCCAGCTGACTGATGTCAGCAGTCTTGTTTACAGGGGCATCGATCAATGTGTCACCCAGGAGGTCACTGAGTGGGCAGGACTGCTTTTGAACAATGGAAAAGGGTGCCAAGTAACAGAGCTGCTTCAAGATTGGCAGTCGGACGTAGTTTTGAGAGCCTGCCTCTAGGCACATGAACAGGGTTGCCTCCTGGCAGGTCTCTGTGCAGGAAGGTCTATTCCCAGACCATGGCTGAGGGGGACTGGAGCTGGGTCATGGACTGCTTCAGGGTTCAGAGCTAGAACTAAGGTTAGCAGGCCTGTGACTTGAGGGTACTGGTCAATGTGAGTGCCCCTGGGCCCCTTGGCAGATGGTTCAGGTGGCAGGACCAATGCCAAACAGGGCACTAGCTGAGTCCAGAGGGATGTTAATTCTGTGTCTGTAGCCAGGACCACAGTCAGTGAGCCTGCCACCTGGGTGTGGCCCTGCCTTCTCAAAATAGCTCTCTTCAGTGTTGGGATTCACCAGTTTTGACACTTCCTGTCAAGATCCAGAAGTTCCCACCAAGGGACTTTTGTGCCAGACAGGCTGCTATATTATTGCTGCTTTGAGGGGATACGATTATAGGAGCTCCTCTTCAACCATCTTGCTAATGTTTTTAATCTCTTTGTATTAAGAATATTTCTCTAGCACATTATTCAACTTAGATTTTACTCAATAAGTTAATTTAAAACCTGTGACACCAGACAGCAAGTTATCTGCTGTCAAAATGCAACAGTGACACTCACATATAGGATAGACATTCCTATTCTGAAAAAGAGAAATTGGAAGTTAAATAGAAGTCTTAGAGCCAAAGCAAACTTGAGCCTGGCAGGGCAAGTTTCGTTAGATTTCAGGACTTGAGGTCCTCTTTGGCTTGATATCCTGACCTCCAGTCCATAAAGGTGGTGGCCCCTCTTCCTTTGTTCTGTGCATGTATCTTGCATTTCTTTATATCTCTGATGGTGCCTTCAGGATCATTTACAAAATGTTTGACATGTTTTATATATTTATAGTTTAATTCTTAAAATGTTATTTTTGTTTTTATAAATATTTTCTCAGTTTACATTTAAAATGTAAAAAAAGTAGAACTTTAAGCAGGGTTTCCACCATAAATATTAATGTTGAAAAAATATATATCAATAGCTTTTCTGTCACTGTTAATGCTTTTTAAGTATTTTTAAATGAAAAATATTCTCCAAAAAATTAAATTATAAAAATCTCAGAATCTCAATTATTGTGGAAGAATTTTATTAAAATTACTTTAAAATCCAGACCCGACCTCTAAGTATTTGGATATCTCTGTGAGACCTATTGTGCTTGTTTATAAAAATCTGCAACATTTTAACAATATCAATTCTTCCCAAATGTATTTCATTGTATTCTAATCAATACAATTAGTTAGAACTTTTGAACCTAGCCAAATAGATCAACTGAAAGGAAAAACAAACTTAAAAACTTGCTTATTTTGAACATGAACATACATGAAGACAAGAATTGTTTCACTAGTTGTTTAAAATTATCATGAGGGGACACCCAATAAAACAAGATATTTTAAAGGAATTCAGTGAAAGACCAATGGAAAAGAAGAGATAATGTGGAAACCTAGCCTCCCCTGCACTGGCTTCTGGTATAAGATGTTGACCCTCCTTCCTTGTGTGATCCCGTTGTTTCCTCCACACACCCTGGTTCTCAAAACCATGATTTCAGGACTGCCTTCTCTTATGACCTCTGGATTCGTGTATACACTAGCCTTGCATCATCTTCATGTAGATGTGTACTGGGCAACTGGAGTCCCAAATTTCAGTTTCAGCGTTCCATGCCAACCTGCCCAGCCCCAATATTCCTGTGTGTATAAACGGCAATCCAACTTCACCTCCTCCACCACACCCCTTGCCCAGACACCATATGTCTCATCAGGACTAGCTCAAACCCTTTCCTGCATTCTCGCTCAAGCCTTCTCAGTGATAATCATATACCTGTTCCAAATGTCTTTCCTCTCTGTCCGTCCTCCAGTGATATCTCAGAGTGGGATTCACCGAGAAGCAAGGAGAGTCAAAGCTTTGGGGCCCTTCACTCTCTGGAGATTCTCTGAGTGCTGTCTGTTGCTGGGAGTTGTATGGTGGGGTGGGGTGGGGAGGGGAAGCCAGGCTACAGTCAGAACAGACTGTGAGCATGCCTGGTAAACTTCCTGAAGAGTTCTTAGAAGACAGGGGCCAAACATTGGCTGAGACTTCCTTTCTTTTTCTAAGTGCACATGCACTCTCTTGAGTGCCGTGTATACTTTTGTCTTCCCTTTCTTAAACACACCTCTGCCTGTCCCTGGTCCTTCTCAGGACCATCATGATTTTATAGGACCGGTTCCTTGGTTCCACTTCTAACCCCATTTTCTGTTTTGCCAACTTTCTCACCTCAGTCTGGGGCCACAGATCTTCTTGCTGCTGTTCAAACGTTGCAAGTTACTTTCAGTCTCACAGCTTTTAACTTTCTCTGTTTCCTCTGCTTAAAGCATCTCTGCCCCGTTGTTTACGAGTGACTCCATTGTTTCATTTACGGATCTGATGAAATTTCACCTTCTAAATAAAGGGCTCCTAACTAGCCTGTGTTAAATAGATTCGCTAATCATTCCTATCTCATCTCTCTGCCTTTATTTTTTATTTACTGTGATTATTAATACTTGACATTTCATTACATATTTATTAGTTTATTGCCTGTATTTACCACTAGTATATAAATGCTGTGTGGGAAGAATCTTTGTTTCAAACATCATAAACCTAGATAGTGCCTGGAACAAACAGTTACTAATTATTTTTGAAATTAATGAATAAAAGAAAATACCATTCAACATTGGAATTTAATTTTAACTTAAAAGCAATAATGTTAGCAATTCACTGCATATCACACCCAAATAAATTATTTTTGTATTATAACTCAAAGGTACCAAAAAAACCTCTGAAACTCATTAAAAGTGTAAAGGTAGATGCTTTACATAATCCCCAAATGCATAAAGACTTTGTAAGCACAAAACAGTTAACGAAATTATTAAAGTTAATATATTAAACAAAATACTTTAAAAAATTCTGATGACACAAAATATCAGAATGAAACTGAAATAAAAATATTTTAGTTGATACTATTCACAAAGAGTTACTATTTTTTTTCTTTTCTTTTTGAGACAGAGTTTCACTCTTTTTGCCCAGGCTGGAGTGCAATAGCGTGATCTTGGCTCACTGCAACTTCTGCCTCCTAGGTTTGACTGAGTCTCCTGTCTCAGCCTCCCAAGTAGCTTGGATTACAGGCACGTGCTACCACACCAGCTAATTTTGTAGTTTTAGTAGAGATGGGGTTTCACCATGCTGGCCAGGCTGGTCCCGAACTCCTGACCCCAGGTGATCCACCCACCTCGGCCTCTCAAAGTGCTGGGATTACAGGTGTGAGCCACCGCATCTGGCCAGTTATTATTTTCATACCAAAAACACATTTATATTTATGAAGAAAACATTTCAATAGAAGCAGTAGTTACATGGATAAACATGAAAAGTTATATAAACATATTAATTAAAAAAGACAAATAATGATACACCTATGAAATTGACCAAGAAGGAAAAGCACACATAATTCAGAGCTGGTGCAAGTGAAGTTTAATTCTGCAGCAAAATTTGAAGAGGCTTTTGGAAAAGTAATTCAATGTTGTATATTAAGAAGTGTGAATCACCGTATATCAAATGGTAGATTGTCTCAGGGAAAAACTGACATTCAGAGTGTATTTTTTGTATAATTAGTTTTATTTCTGCATAATTTATAATGTTGAAATTTTTAATGTCACTATTCACTCTTAGGAGAAGATTGCAATTGTGATATAATTACTCTGATAGATATTAACTCCAGTAGATACTGTCCAGTCATATACGAACACTACATATTGCAAACCGAAGAGATGTAACACAGAAGATTGGTTAGAGGTGGCAAAGGGTTACAGGGAAGGCTGGAGAAGTGGGCAGGGGAGTGTTGTCATCCAAGGACCAAGAGTCCTCACCACTGGAGCCCCATGTGCCCCTCACTGCTGAGCTGATGGGAACTCTGCACTCCAGGGCTGCTGAGAGAACCCTGCCCTGGTGATGTGCAGCAACCCAGATGCCTGCATCTCCCCAATACGACTGAAACTGCCTCTCAGGTGCTGAAGTCTGAGGCCCCCCATGGTCCCTGTTGCTTATAGCTGCTGACCCACACCCCCATCAGAAACGGAAAAAAGTAGTTTACTTCTTCCTCTCACCCTGCAGTGTCCACCCACAAGGGCCTGCACTCTCAGAGCCTTACGAAAAGTGAAGTAGCAAAGAAGTCAGGACAAACCACGTGCAGGCTGCAGCACTGTGGGTCAGAGACTCCAGCCCTCAAACGTGCACCTAAAAACAGGACATTGTCTAGACAAAGGTGGTCATGAAAAGACCTCCATGATGTAGGAAAATGATCAACATTTTTCCAGAGCACGTCTTTAGAGAAAAGTTCAGAGGAATTTGGCTGCAAGATCTAAGATGGCGGTGCAGTTTCTTCTGTCTTCTTCCCTGTTTTATTCCAACAGCCTAATACAGGGTATACACTCAATGAATATTTGTAGTTTAAAGGGAAGATATAACATGTAAAGTATCATTTTTGTCTGGTTTATTACATTAGAGTCGATTTTAAAATTTTTATTCAACCAGTTTTACTTTAGATTTTTCTATGACTTTAATGACAGTATTTAAAACAAAAACAAAGATAAAAATCAAATGCAACACTAAAGCAATAAAGATTGCAAGTGAGTGAGAGGGAAACAGACTACAATCGGTCCTAATGAAGAGGGAGAAAGATGAAGATATGAAGATGACTCCAATTTTAGTTTTAATCAAGGTACTGATTTGTGGAGGTATCTTTGACACATCAGTTGACCTCTGAGTTTCAGATTCTATACCTGTGAAATGTTAGAATAAAAATAACAATATCTTACAACATTTACTTGAATATTAAATGAAGATCACACATATATATGGAATATATTTTATAATGTGGAAAAGGCTAAGGCTGTATATGAACTAACTCCTACATTTCATAAATAAGATTTTGATGATGATGAGATTTGAGATTACTATTACTAATATTGGTTAAAAGTTTGCATTTCATAACAGAGGTAAAAATTGTAAAAGCTATTAGAAGAAAACCAGAATTGTTCAGGAGAGATACCTACTGACTTCTTTAGCTCTCTTAATTGCATTCTTCTTCAACTCCCAGAGGTGATGTATCAACCGAAAGCTTTCAACCCCTCCCCTAGTGCACACGGTAAAACCAGGCAGGTCACTTTCTTACTCCTGTTGGTGCTCTTAACCTGGCCACACACCACCAGCCCATCTAGGTGAGGTTCAAGACATCATCTGATGGTGAGTTCAGCCAGACAGACAGGAGGTACTAGCAGGAAGAAAAGGGTCATCACTGCTCTCGACTTGTTCTGCTTCTGAAACGTTCTATTAGTTCTTCACAGCATTTCCTCATTTTTTCTTTATCATCTGTTTTTAATGGAGAAAAGCAAATGTTATTCTTTCTTATAACTTCTATACAACACTTATTTACTGTGACATAATGGTAAATAGATTTTTAATTTCCAATTATTTATGGACATAATAATATATATTCTATAGTTTTAGATTTTCATACAATGATGTATTTATTTTCCTGTCACTGAAGTTTTATAGAGGAAAAGTGACTGATTTTCTTTTGAGAGGGGATGATTTCTGAGGGTTACAAAACACTAGAAACAATGTCTCAATCATTTTATGTTTCTTTGATGAAACCCACAGACAGTGGCCTAAATCCAAAGTGTAGACTGCAGAGGGAGGATGGTGTCCCTGAGAGGAATCAGGCAGAGTTACGTGCGCTGGCTCTCTCTCTCGGGCTGAGACGTGCGTTCTATCTCAGGTTAGGTGTGTGATATTAGGCAGGTACCCTGAGAACCTGCATTTTTTAATATGTAAAGAGAGAAAATAATAGGAAGTAACTCATAGGCTCTTGGGAAAGAAGAAATGTAAAGTATTAATTTTAGTATTAGTATTAGAACAATTCCTGGGATGCTGTATGCTTCAAATAAAGATTTGACTCCATTTATACTTACAATAAATCCCCAAGTTAAACATGCATTAAGCAATTTACATGAAAGTCAAACAAGCGGGTACAGAAGAAGAATGAACAGGGGGCCAGTTCACTGTGTGTGGATAGTGTTCCCTTATCTGTCCCGTGTCCTGGTTGAGCTGTTGATAGTGGCTTAATGATAGTGGCTTAATGATAGTGATGGCCATTTCCTAAAGAGCAGCAGAGATTTCTTAGGAAACCCCGCATCTCCCTGCCCTCCTGCTCCCCCTCAATTTACTGAGCAAACACCTTTTAGGTCTTCACATGTGCTGGTCGCTCCTCTGGTCCTTGCTTCACTTTGGCCACAAATAATGGACGAGGTCAGCAGGTGTGTTTTGCAGTTTATTGGAATGTTTTTAAATTGTACACAGATCTCAGCCACCATTTGCCAGTAGGGGTAGTGTTTGATACACATTATCTATCTATCTATCTATCATCATCATCTATTCATATATATACATATGTACATAAAATGTGTCTCAGATTTGTTGGATATTTATATTAAAGCACCGAAGCATCCCAGAATGTTGGAAGTTTTGGTGAGTTGAATGTCTTAAATACTTTTTGTAATTACTACAAGAATACAAAATATATTTGAAACTTGTAAATTCATTCCAAAATGTCCCTGCATCATAATCACAGCTAAAGTCTTCCCAGAAAGAGGAGTTATTATGTCCTTATTCTTGGCAAGGGCTCTCAAAATTTAACATTTAATATGTCAGAAGTTGAAAAGTTGGAAAGTTTTAATTTCTTTCAGAGAAAATGTGGAAACAGCTATTATGGATTATTTCAGAACGGCCAGATATATTTTGTGTCTATTGCCCTTATTTATTTTGTAACTATTTAAAAATTCAACTTCAAATCACATTTACATAATAGTTGTTCCCTGAATAGACTGACTGTGACCTCCTTAAGTGCACTCAAGTTCAATTTTTCTTTGATTCATCTTCTGCATATAACACAGAGGCTGTGAGTATCATGATAGAGAAGGAAACAGTGAGTTGAAGTCAGAGGCGATTCATCGTCAGTATAACACAGGCTGTGAGTGTCACGGTAGAGGGAGAAACAGTGAGTTGAAGTCAGATGCCTCAGTGTTGTTTGATTTTCCTCCCTGCTTCTCAGTTTGTATGAAAGATTGATTGTGGCAAGTAATAAAGCACATGAGGTTTGCAAAAACAACTAAAGCCTTGTCTGATAAACAGCAGTGACCCTCCAAATTCTAGTTCTTCCTCGCTGAGATTTAATGAGCTTTAAAATGAGAGGAGCTTTAAGGAGATGAGGTTGGAGGACCACATACTAGGCAGGAAGGACATAGGAGTCTCCAAAAAGCTCTGCATAACCAGGGTTAAAATAAGAAATGTTATAGTTATATATTCACCTGTGTATGTTTACATAAATATATTATATATATTTATATAAAACCAGAGTATTTACACATAAACACACAAATATAAAATCCAAATTGTTTTTTTTTAAAGTGGGTCATATGCTTTATTTTGCAGAACTTCTGCCATTTTTATTTTGAAAGTCAGCTTCTTAAATGTATGAATAGGTACTGAATCTGGAGAATGGAAGTAATATATCTTATATAATAATAGTAGCAACAATCTCTTAGGTTGTGCAGAATAGTTAGCTTAAAGAGTTAACATCTACACTAAGAGTATATGTGTTTATTCATCGGAAACTGTACTATTCTAAGCACTTTCATTACATTTCCTCATTTTACCCTCACCACACCTGAGCTCAAACATGATTTTTATCCTTTTTGATGTAGATTGGAGAAAGGAATGGCAGACAGAGAAAAAGGTGGACCCATAGCTGGAGTCTACTGTGTGTGGGCTCCTCACTTCACGTCTCTCGATGTCTAAAGGGTCAGCTGTGTGTGAGGACCCTTCCCTGCTCATGAGAATGTGAGGCTCGCTCCACGCAATCACAGAGCCTCACAGCATGGCCTGATCCTATGGGAGGAGGAGGTTCAAACATCTGGCATAATTTTTTTTCCAAGTTACGCTTTAGTTACTTGCTAAATCTTTCTTATATCATATATACCTCTGAGTATTTTGAAGATGCCTATTGTTTCTTAAACCAGCGATGTTGATTCAATTCAGCTGTCTATGACAAAAACTCTACAATAAGGAGTTTGCTTTATCTTTCTTTCAATGAGTCACTGTTTGTGTTAGCAGAGGAGGGAGGTTCTGCAAATTTTCAGTACTTGTTGATAAATGGCATTATCATCAGGAAAGTTTATGAATTTGAACCGTGACAACCTTACTATCAGTTACCAATTCTTCTGGCCTATAGTTGTGAATTCTTAGTTTGTTTTGTGAATTTGTTATATGTCATTTATATACTCAAATCCCCAGACCCACGGGACTCAGGTTAGCACAATGAGCATACACAAATGTGAGTACTCACGAAACACTCATTACAAAGGGACGCGTTACACTGACTCCAAAACTCTCCTTGGTGGCCTAGGTGAAACCTCATGGCCAACATCACCAGGATGGCCAACCACACTGGAAAGTTGGATTTCATCCTCATGGGACTCTTCAGACGATCCAAACATCCAGCTCTACTTAGTGTGGTCATCTTTGTGGTTTTCCTGAAGGCGTTGTCTGGAAATGCTGTCCTGATCCTTCTGATACACTGTGACGCCCACCTCCACAGCCCCATGTACTTTTTCATCAGTCAATTGTCTCTCATGGACATGGCGTACATTTCTGTCACTGTGCCCAAGATGCTCCTGGACCAGGTCATGGGTGTGAATAAGGTCTCAGCCCCTGAGTGTGGGATGCAGATGTTCCTCTATCTGACACTAGCAGGTTCGGAATTTTTCCTTCTAGCCACCATGGCCTATGACCGCTACGTGGCCATCTGCCATCCTCTCCGTTACCCTGTCCTCATGAACCATAGGGTCTGTCTTTTCCTGGCATCGGGCTGCTGGTTCCTGGGCTCAGTGGATGGCTTCATGCTCACTCCCATCACCATGAGCTTCCCCTTCTGCAGATCCTGGGAGATTCATCATTTCTTCTGTGAAGTCCCTGCTGTAACGATCCTGTCCTGCTCAGACACCTCACTCTATGAGACCCTCATGTACCTATGCTGTGTCCTCATGCTCCTCATCCCTGTGACGATCATTTCAAGCTCCTATTTACTCATCCTCCTCACCGTCCACAGGATGAACTCAGCAGAGGGCCGGAAAAAGGCCTTTGCCACCTGCTCCTCCCACCTGACTGTGGTCATCCTCTTCTATGGGGCTGCCGTCTACACCTACATGCTCCCCAGCTCCTACCACACCCCTGAGAAGGACATGATGGTATCTGTCTTCTATACCATCCTCACTCCGGTGCTGAACCCTTTAATCTATAGTCTTAGGAATAAGGATGTCATGGGGGCTCTGAAGAAAATGTTAACTGTGAGATTCGTCCTTTAGGAAATTATAAAGTAGGAAATTTGGATATAAAGATTTATTTTCCTTTTCTCTACCCATCAGATACTTAGGATTTTATCCCTGTTATTCCTTAGACTCTCATACAATGATGCCTCATCTCATATTCATCTCATTTTGAGGAATTCTTTCACTGTGTGGAAACTCTATTTTATAGTCTTTGTCCATCCAAAATTCTTTTACAATTGTGTTATACTAATGTAACATTTTTGGAAGTTGATAACTGTTCTCTAATTTTGTGAAAAAATATTCTTAACCTCAGGAAATACTTAATATTTAGAGACAAAAAGGTCATGAGGTGTTCAAATGATGAGAGGGAAAGAGGGAGGGAGATAGAGAGGGGCAATGAAACAAACTGAGTTCAATGTTGCTGCCACACATGAGTATGGGTAAAGGGTATATAGGTATTAATTGTACTATTGTTTTTTAATGATTTTTGTGAAGTTGAAATCATTTACAAATAATTAAATACCAGGCTTTTCTCCCTTTTTGAAAATATTCTCCTTTCTGCTTGGTGGCAGTGTGACATCTTAGAAATCATGCTCATTTCATTATATCTAATCATTACCAAGAAAATCCAGTCATCGCCCCTTCTTTATTGAGGGCTACATTTTTCTGCATGGTCCAATTCTGATGGCGTCTAGTGGATTTATCTCTCCGAAATAATTACTGCCATGTGGTGTATTGAGGATGTAGGACCACATAAGTGACTGCAGAAAAAATATGACACCTGAGTGGAAGGAGTTTTAAGGAAGGTTACCTGCCCAGGGTGATTCCTGAGCTGAGATTTCAAACATGTAACTTGTTATACAAACAAGCAGAGGGATGGCATCAACATTCAATCCTTCATTTATTTAACAAGCATTTTGTACTATTTTATAATTAAAAATAGTTAAATAAGATTAAATTTTGAATAGCACATGGCTTTTACCAAGGAGTTTGAAAAATACATGTAGTTGTTTATGCAAACAAATGTAAGAAAATAAATAAGCTGTTTTGATACTCGTGTGAAGGGTGCAGCTCATAAGGACACACTAATTCTATCTGTGACATCTGAGTTCAAACAAGGAGCTGAGAGGAGACTCCGGGGCTCAGTGCTGAATAGTGACGAAAAGTTACCCTCAGATGAGTGTGTGATGTTGGAGCCAGGGGAACTTGCTGAGACACGCTGCAAGGGAAAAGGCACAGCATGAGCAAAGACAGGGCTGAGCAAGCGAGAGAGATCAATGCCCAGTAGATCTTTCTTATTTCATGTTAGGCTTATTTCTTGCCCTTGTGTGGCCCAGGGTTTTACAAACAATAGTGAAATGATCAGATTTGTATTTTAGAAATGTTATTTGTGTGGTGATCAATTGGAGATGTGCAAGACCAAAAACATAGAGACCAGGTACATGAGAATGGTAATCTAAATGATGTTGATCTAAGTGGAGTCGACCATGCCTTTACCCGAGAATAGGCTGATAGGAGGGCATTTGAGGTGGGGCCTGCTGAACCTGTTACCTAAAAGCATACATGTGGTAGCTGCATGCTATAACTTCCTAATTGGCTATGTACAACTTGCGAATAATCAGGTGTTTTCAACAGTACACATTCTTCTTTTCTCTCACCACACTCAATTATTTTATGACTATAATATAAAGATTCTGTAGTGCTTTGGAAAAATATGAGAGAACTAGTTTTTAATATTTTTCCTGAACTCAGACAATATAAAATGCATACTCTAACTTTGTATGAATTAAAGAGCATTTGTCAACTCTCAATTTGCTGGATTATAATTATAGACACATTTGATGGTTATCTTTAAAACATCCTTGTGAAAGGAAATGTAGCAAAATTTCATGAAAAATGATTTTTGTAGAGCTTTATTGTGCTAAAAATTGTTAGCTGCCTAAAATAACCTGTTATAATATGTTGGTAAGTCTCGTGGTAACTACAAAGCAAAAACCTGTAGTAGACATACAAAAATTTTTAAAAAACAAGGAATCAATGCATACCACTAGAAAAAACATCATTTAACCGTAAAAGAAGATAGTAAGAATGGAAGAAAAGAACAAAGTCTCTAGAAAACAACTGGAAAACTAACAAAATTGTAGCATTAAGTCCCTATGTATCAAAAATTATCTTAAATGTAAATGTATTAAATTATCCAATCAAAAGATATCTGGTGGCAGAATGTATAAAAAATGCCAACTACAACAGGTTACTTTAACCTGCAAGGACATATGCAGACGAAGTGAAGTGGTTGAAAAGGATATCCCATGCAAGTCGTAACCAGAAAAGAGCAGGAGTAGCTATGCTTATATCAGATAAAATAGACTGAAGTCCAGAACTGTAGAAAGAGACAAAGAAGATCATATATAATGATTAAAAAGTCAATTCAACAAAAAGTATATAATAATTGTGACTATGTATGAAACATTAACCTAAATACATAAAGTATTAATAGATCTAAGGGGATAGATAGCAATAAAATAATACTAAGAAACTTCAACACCCCTCTTTCAGCCATGGAAAGACTATCCAGACAGGAGGTAAACAATGAAATAACAGCTTCAAGTTGCACTCTAGGGCAATGGACCTAAAAAGCATATGCAAAACATTTTATTCAGTAGCTGCAGAATACACATTATACTCGATTGCACATGAAACATTTTCTAGGTTAGATCACATGTTTGACCACAAAAAAGTCTTAAAGATAAGAAGTTCAAAATAATATCAATCATCTTTTCTGATCACAGCAGTTTATAAACGAATGCAAGAATTCTCAGAAAGTTTACAAATAAATGGTGATTAAATAATATGCTCCTAAACAATAGATGGGTCAATGAAAAAATTAAAAGGGAAAATAAAAGGTTGTTTGAGACAAATAAAAATGGAAAACTCAACATACCAAAACCTACAGGACACAGCAAAAGCAGTTCAAAGAGGAAGTTTATAGTTTATAGCAATGAATGGCTACATCAATAAAGAAGAAAGACTTCAAATAAGGAAAGGTAATATTGTACCTTAATTAACTAGAAAAACAAGAATAAGCTAAACTCAAAATTAGTAGATACATTAATATTGATTAGAGGAGAAATAAAAAAATGATAAAAACAATGCAAAACATCAGATGAGTTGTTTTGTGAAAAAACAAAATAAACTAGACTAAGAAGGTTCAAATCAGAAATTTACAAAGGATATATTACAACTGAGGCCACAGAAATACAAAAGATTATGAAAGTATAATGAATAATTGCATGTCAAAAATTAGATAAGCTGGAAGACATGAATTGACTGATACATAAATCCTACGATAGTAAATCTTAGCAAACCAATAATGAATAATGCAGTGAAGTAGTAATAAAAGTCTCCCACCAGAAAAAAAAAAAAAAAAGCCCAGGACAATATGGACTCATTGCAAAATTCTATCAAAAATTTAAAGAACTAATACCAATTATTCTCAAACACTTCCAAAAAATTGAAGAAGTGGGAATACTTTCAAATTCATTATACAAGGCCAGAATTATCCTAATACCAAAGCCAGAGAAGGACATGGGAATGAAAAAGGAACTACAGGTCAATATCATTTGGGAACATGGATGTAAAATTCCTCAAAAAATGCTAGAAAACTGAATTTAAAAGCACATTTCAAAAAGCATTCATCATGATAAAATGGGATTCATCCCAGGGATGCAAGGATGCTTCAACAGATGCCAATTAATAAACATCACATAGCACAGTAACAGAATGAATGATACAATTTTATGATTATTTAGGTGGAGAGAAGCATTTGACAAAATTCCAAAACTCTCAACAAATTAGGTATACAAGGAATGTATCTCACCATAACAAAGGCCATATATGATAAGCCTACAGCTGACATAATACTTAATGATGAAATGTTGAAAGCTTTTTCTCTAAGATCCAGCAAAAGACCAGAACGGTCACTCTTGCCACTTTTATGTAACATAGCACTGAAAGTCCCAGCTAAAGCAATTAGGGAAGAAAAATAAATAGAAATGTAAATAGGAAAGGAAGAAGTGACATGTTTCTGTTTGTTAATAAAGTAATATTACATATAAAAAAACATAAAGCCTTCAACAAAAACTATTCCCTAACAAATTCAGGAAAGTTTCAGGAAATCAACAGACAGAAATTGGAGTTTCTATACTCTAACAGCAAACTGTATCTTTAAAAAGTTAAGAAAGACTCATAGAGAGGAGTTATAGCAACAAGATAGATGAATAGAAGATCCTCCAGCATCATTCATCCACACCCACAAAAATAGAACTGGAAACTATTCAAAAACAATAACATCCTGAATTCCCATGAATTCAGGAGAGAAAAAAGAGAAGCTGTGTCTGGTCTTAGAGCAATTAGGTAAAAGAAGGAAACAAAGGCCTCCAAATTGGAAAGAAGGAACTGAAATTTTCCCTGTTTACAGATGACATGGTCATATATTAAAAAAATCCTAATGACACCAGCAAAAACTGTGAGAACTGATAAATGAATTCAGTAAATTTGCAAGATACAAAATCAACATACAAAATTAGCATTTATATATGCCAACAGTGAGCAATCTGAAAGAGAAATAAGGCAATCCCATTTACAAAAACTAAAGTAAATACAAAATAACTAGGAATAAATTTAGCCAAAGTAAAAGATCTCTTCAAGAAAAACTATACAACTCTAATGAAAGAAATTGAAGAGATCACAAATAAATGGAAAGATTCCCCATGTTCGTGGATTAGAAGAATTGATATCATTAAAATGTCCATCTACCAAAAGAGAGCTACAGAATTAAGGCAATCACTATCCGAATACAAAAGATATTCTTCAGAGATAGAAAAAAACAATCCTAAAGTTCATATGGAAGCAAAAAAGACTCCAAATAGCCAATGCAATTCTGAGCAAAATGAATGAATATGTAGGCATCATACTACCCGATATACTACAAGCTATTAAACATCAAAAGAGAATGGTACTGGCATAAAAGCAGACACACAAACAGAAGAGAACCCCTGAGAGTCCAGATATAAATTCACTCATTTATAGTCAACTGATGTTTGACCAAGTTGAAAAGAACATACACCAAGAAAAGCACTACTTCCTCAATAAATGGTGATGCAAAAAATGCATATCCAAATACAGAATGAAACTAGACACTTATTTCACTATTTTAAACTCAAATTGGATTAAAGACTTTAATATCAGATCTTAAACTGTAAAACTTCTGGTAGAAAACACAGGCAGAATGCATCATCACTACATTGATCTGGGCAAGAATTTTTAAAGTAGAACCTCAAAATCACAGGGAAAAATTAAAAAATTAAAAAATGAGATTACATCATACTGAAAGGTTCTTCACAATAACGAAAACAATTCACAGAGTGAATAGATAACATACGAGTGGGAGAAAAGATTTGCCAACAATGCATTTGACAAGGGGTTCATATCCAGAATATATAAAGAACTCAAGTAACTGAGTACCAAAATTATCCCACAAATAATTTGATTTAAAAAATGGGCAAAAGACATCAAAAAACATATTTCAAAAGAAGACATACAAATGGCTAGCACGTATATGACAAAGTGCTCAACATCACTAATCATCAGGGAAAGGCAAACTGCAATGTCTTGGATGGACATGGTATCTTTCACTTTGAAACTGGAGTCCTGCAGGCCATTTTGAATATTGTTCATGTTTCCTAACACACCCAAGTTGGCAGAAGACCCCCTATTTAGGTCTAATACCTGCTGTTTATGCTCAAATAGGCCCAGGCAATACAAGTTTTGGCTATGACTCCAGTTATGTATATTTCTGGAAGAAACAATAGATGGGTATAAAATAAAGTATGGTAGAGTGAAATCATCATACCTGTACAGGAATGTAAATTTGGAGGTCATTTTTCTTATCAGGACACATCACACGGGGAATGTGTTTCTTTAGTAAATGTTGTGTACTCCTTTAGATATACTTATAACAAACCAACGATGCATGGCATCAGGATAAGTTTAGAAATAATTACTAAACGAGATTCCATAGGGTAGAGACAAGAAATTAGATTTTGCCTATGTTCAAGTGGGAGAATACCCATTTCAAATACCCAAGATTATAGAAGAAGGAATGAAAAAGTTTCAACTTTAAGCTGCTGAGGGAAGCTTGAAAAGAATTTAGTCTGACATTTGATATTCTTTATAACCATGTGACTAATTACTCAGATGGTACTTAGGAATTAAGAAAAGTCATTAACCTACAAAAAGCCCGAAGTATAAGAAAACACAGTTAAAGGTGTGTTTTTTAATTGTCTTTGCTGGATTCGGTTAGTTCAATAGCCTTGTCTTCAAGCTCTGAACTTGTTTCTTCTACTTGTTTGATTCTATTTCTGAGATTTTCCAGTGTATTTTGCATTTTTCTAGTGTGTTCTTGATTTCCAGCAGTTGTGATTGTTTTTTATTTATGCTATCTGTTTCTCCGGAGATTTTTCCATTCATGTCCTGTAACACATTTTTAAATTTAAGTTGGTATTCACCTTTCTCTGGTACTTTGTTGAGTAGCTTAATAATTGACCTTCTTAATTCTTTTTCTGGCAATTCAGAAATTTCTCCTTTGTTTGAATCCATTGCTGGTGAGCTAGTGTGATCTTTGGGGGTGTCAGAAAACCTTGTTTTGTCATATTTTCAGAATGGTTTTCCTGGATTTTTCTCATTTGGGTAGACTATGTGAGAGGGAAGTTCTGGGGCTAAAGGGCTGCTGTTGAGATTCTTTTGTCCCATGGGGTGCTCCCTTGATGTGGTGCTCTACCCCTTCTTCTAGGGATGGGGGTTCCTGAGAAACAAAGTGCAGAGATTGTTATTTCTCTTCCACATCTAACCACCCAGCGAAGCTACTGTGCTCTGGTACTGGCTGGTACCGGAGAGTGTCTGCAAAGAGTCTTGTGGTATGATCTGTCTTCAGGTCTCTCAGCCATGGATACCAGCACATGCTGTGGTGGAGGGAGCAGGGGAGTGAAGTGGACTCTGTGAGGGTCCTTGGCTGTATTTTTGATAAGTTTGCTGGTTGGTCTCCAGCCAGCAGTTGATTCTTTCAAGAGTTGCATCAGCTGCAGTAGTGTAGGGAAGATACGAGCTTGCCTTAGGGTTACCTGGATAAGTATCCAGATTTCTCAGGCAATGGGCCGGGCCTCAGAGCTCCCATGAGATTATGTCCTTTGTCTTTGGCTCCCAGGGTGGGTAGAGAAAGGCCAAGAGGTGGGGGCAGTGTTAGGCGTGTCTGAGCTGAGACTCTCCTTGGGCGGGGCTTGCTGTGTGGCTGCTGTGTGGGATTGGGGTGTGGTCCTCAGACTGATGGAGTTATGTTTCCACGGGGATTATGAGTGCCTCTGCTGGGTCATGCAGGTCACCAGAGAAGGGGGGGAACGGGCAGTTACATGCTTCACTCAGCTCCCAGGCAGCCCAAAAGGCCAGTCTCACTCCCACCTTGTGCCCCCAGTAGCACTGAGTTTTTTCCAGGCAGCTGGTGAGCAGGGCTGAGAACTTGCCCCAGGCTACAAGCCCCTCATGAAGAAAGCAAGCAGGGCTTTTAGGTTTCATGCCTCTCTGCCTGCCTCAGCTTCTGAGCTTGTATCTGCACTCCCAGTTTGCCCCCTCCCCCAGGTTCTGTCCAGGAAGCTTCACGTTAGTCAAGATTATTACAAAATTCATCTGAAAGCTTGCTTCTCCTTGTAGTCTTTCCCCAATTCCACTGGCAGCCCTCCCAAAGGACCCCTGCAAGACAAAGTCCGAAATGGTTTCCCACAGGGCTCTTCTTGTTGTTTCCTCTACTCGAATATTTTGCTTGGCTCTCTAAATTCCTCTTAGCTCCGCGTAAGATTAAATCCTTTTCCCACCATGTGGACCGTCAGGTTCCCCAGTGAGGATCTGTGCTTGGGGGTGGAGCATCCCCCTTTTACACTTTCACACATTTTGGCACTCAGTCTTTGGCACGGAGCCTACAGTGGCCGCCACCTCCTTCAAAGGGTCTTTGGATTCTCTTGGCTTTCCTGGTATGTCCTATGGTAGTTCTTGGAGCAAAAGTTCACAGCGTGAATCTCCACATGCTGCTCTGTCCATCCAAGTGGGAGCTGCAAGTTAGTCCTGCCTCCTATCTGCCATCTTCCTCTTCTGGAGTCCACGAAAAGGATTATAAACAAACTATTTTGTTGGGAGTAATAATGTGGTCCTGGCCTAGTGTGAAGTGAAGCTCACTCCAGGCCATTTCTCTCAAGCTGTGTTAATTTGTACCCTTCAGCAGTTTATGAGAGGTTCATTTCCATAGGCCCCCACATCTACAACTAGGGGATTTCATATATCTAATCTGAGCAGGGACATTGGTTCTACATGGAGACAGTGCAGAGATGAGCTGTGCTTGAGGCCTCACCTGTAGGTGGTAGGGTCTAGACCGGGAGACAGGCATTGGCCAACAGAAATAAAGGACACAAAGTGATGTCCTTCTCCACTCACTTCAGCTTTTCTTCAACACTATTTCAGATGCTTCCTTCCTGGCTTAGCTCTTCATTCAAGGTGAGATATTATGGGAACAGGATTGTGGGGGCAGGTGGCCCCAGGTATGGAGACTAAGGGGAGGTGTACATGGCAAGAGAGAAGCCAGAATATGGGGATGAGAAAGGAACAAGCTGTCTGTGGTAGTCATCCATGATTGAGATGATGTGTGGACCCTGAGTCAGACTACCTGGTTCAAATGCAGGCTCTCTACTTTTTACCCATTTGATCTTGGCCTGTGGCTCTCTACTTCTTATCCATTTCATCTTGGACTTGTGGCCTCTCATACCTCATCTTCCTTACAGTCCTCCATATGAAATCCCCCTAAAGTAGGAACAAAGCTTTGGCCAACTGCT
Organism: Homo sapiens; assembly: GCF_000001405.40. Taxonomy (NCBI): domain Eukaryota; kingdom Metazoa; phylum Chordata; class Mammalia; order Primates; family Hominidae; genus Homo; species Homo sapiens. The sequence goes on from NT_187518.1 coordinate 152,471, forward strand.
CCTCCCATCTTTCCGTGGTCTTTACTTAGGAACTGTGTGTTTAATATACGTGACACAGGGTTTCTCCCACATCCCTGAGCAGAAACAAGCTGTGTCTGTATTTTGCACTGTACTCACCCCCATGCTAAACCCCCTCATCTACATCCTGAGAAACAAGGATGTGGTGGGGCTCTTCAGAAAGTTCTGGGAACACATCAAGTCTCTAAACAGAACACATAAATATCAATGTGGAAAACAACGGTAGAGGGCCAAGATGCAAAGACTTCAGGAGCATCTCATTTTCCAGCATGAGGAATGTTGCTCCATCGTATGAGAAAACCATTTGGTTCAATTTAATTTGAAATATTAATTTGCTCATAAAAAGCTTAAGGGCTGGGTGCGGGGGCTCATGCCTGTAATCCCAGCACTTTGAGAGGCCTAGGCTGGCAGATCATTTAAGGTCAGGAGTTTGAAACCAGCCTGGCCAACATCGTGAAGCCCTTTCTCTACTAAAAATAGAAAACTTAGCCAGGCACGGTGGTAGGTACCTGCAACCCCAGCTACTTGGGAGGCTGATGTGGGAGAATCACTTGAGCCCGGGAGGCGGAGGTTGCAGTGAGCAGAGATCTCACCACTGCACTGCAGCCTGGGACACAGAGCAAGACTCTGTCTCAAAAATAAATAAATAAATAAATAATGAAAAGCTTAAGAACTTTTTATCTAGTTTCTAACCATTGTTTCAAAATGGCTGAACTCAACTGTGTTTCTCCTTGAAGCTAGATGATAAGCATAGACAAAGTTCCAGTCTTCTCTCTTTTTACCTGCTTTAGCCATTTCTCAGTATCCTTTGAAGCTCAACTCTGTCCAGGTATTGCTAATCTCCATTGTTGTAAGCATCAGCTTCCTAGGAAAGACAAAAGTGTGATTTCTCAGGGGCAATAATAACACAATAGATTTTCTTTTCTCTTGATTGCTCTGGAAATCCCAACATGTTGGCTCTATTCTCTTATCCTGTCTCGGGTGGAAACTTCTGGTGATTCTCAGATAAGCAATAACTCAGCTGATATATAATACAAGAAGATTTTCTCTTCTATAATAAATACAGCAAGCCTTGAGTAATAGTACGTAATCTGTGGGTGAGCAAGGAACAATAGGCTTCTCTCTTGACTTTGTAAGTTCCTCCCATTCTCACTAGCTCTAGATGCTTACTCTTCCTCGAGTCAGTGCAGGTGGAACTCAGGGGATAGAGTGGAAGTAGGGGCTAGAAAAGCCCTACCTACCTTCCACCAATACAGAGAAGCTTCCCTTCAATTTTTGGTGGTTTGATTATAATATGTCTTAGGGGTAGTTTTGTTTGGATTGAATCTGATTGGTTACTTTTTACCTCACTGTACCTGGTTATTTATATCTTTTTCCAGGTTTGAAAAGTTTTCTATTATTTCTTCATATAAGCTTTCTACTCCTTTATCATTTCAACTCCCTTATCTCCAATGACTCAAAAATTTGCTGTTTTGTTGCTGTCCAGTAAATCTCATGTTTCCTTTATTATTTTTCATTCTTTTCTCTTCTCTATTTTCATATAACCTGTATTTGAGTTCACAGATTCATTGGCTTGATCCATTCTGCTGTTGATGGTCTCAACTGCAGTTTACATTTTGTTCATTATATTTTGCAGCTTTAGAATTTGTTTGATTTTTAAGTTATTCCAATATTTGCTAAGTTTATCATTGTGGTCATATTATTTTTATCGTTTGTTTGAATAGTTTCTGTGTATTTTCTTGAAGTTTGCTGAGCTTCCCTAAGACTGTTATTTCAAATGCTTTGTCAGGTAGTTTATGCATCTCCATTTGTTTGCTTGGTGATGTATGCTTCCTTGATTTCTCTTGCGTCTGCAGTCATGCATCTAATATAATAGGTACTTATTCCAGTCTTTGCAGACTTGTTTTATCCTGAAACATTCTTCAATAGTAAGCCTGTCTAGAGATTCTGAGCAGGTTGTCTGGTGTGGTCCCTAAGCTCTAGTTTGCTGTGGTGGGGGCAGCCCTAGGTGGTGCCCTAAGCCTGGGACTGCCACGACTGGTGCAGTGCAGTGCTGTAATCCCATGGCCACTGGAACTGGTGTGGGTCCCAGATGATATCCTGTGGCCACTGGGGCTGGTGCAGCACTGATGCAAGTCTGAAGCCCATGTTCACTGAGGCCTGCCTGCCAGTGGATACTTTCCAGAGCTTAAGGCCACTCTGGGTGGGTGGCAGTGATGATGACTGCAAATTAATTCTGCTTTGCATGGTTTCTGCCTAGTGTTGGTGTAGATCTGGAGGCTCGGTCTTTGTGTACTGGCCTGGAGTCAGTGGTTGTGGGGGCTGCCTGGTTTTCAGTTTTTCTGTAGTGGGCCTAGTGTTGGGCACCAAGACCAAGTCCCACACTTACTTCCCTTTTTATTCCCCAAGTGTTTGGTATCTCTCCCTGCACTGTGCTGTCTGAGGTTGGGGATAAGAAATGCAGGTAATCAGAACTCTCCTTCCTGCCCTCTTCAATGTTTATTATTTTATCACAAGAAGAAAATAGTATAACTAGGTACAATGATCTCTCACATGGCTTTACTAGCTTTTGTGAAGGTATGTAGTGTAAGAATAGTTATTAAAATTGATGTTTCTATGGGGATACAATTGTTAAAGAATTCCGTTCTGCCAGCTTTCCCACTCTCCTCTCTTTTCACTTTTTTGATTGAGACCTTTGAAGCACAAAAATTTTGAAGTTAGATGAGGTCCAATTATTTATTTTCTTATTGCTCGTTCTTTCGGTATCATGCTAAAAAAAATGCTAAACTTAAGGTCTTGAATATTTAACTTCATCTTTTCTCATATTTTTATAATTTTACTTCTTATGTTTAGGTCCCTGATCAATTTGAGTTTAAGTATGATTTGTAATGCCACTTCATTCTTTTGTTTGTGGATATCTTCTTGTCTGAGCACAATTTGTTAAAGTGAGTATTCTTTTCCCATTGAATGGACGTGGCACACTTGTCAGATGATTATTGACCATAGACACATGCGTGTATTTCTCATTAGATTCTCAATTGTCTTCTATTTATTTATGCATATATCCTTATTCTGTTATCAGGCTTTTAAAATTAGTGTATCTTTTTGGCAAATTTTGTACTCAGGAAGTGTAAATCTTCCAACTTTGTTTTTCTATTCAAGGTTGTTTTGGATTTTGCAGTCGCTCGTAATTTCATATGATTTTTAGTGTTTTCTACTCTTGCAAAAAAAAAAAAAAGGCATGGAATTTTTATAGGCATTGTATTGAACCTGTGGATATATTTTGGTTGTATTATCTTAACCACAAGTCTCCCAATCCATTAACATGCGATGTTGTTTCATCAGTTTATGTTTTATTTGCTATTAGCAGTGCTTTGTAATTTTCAGTGTGTTGTTTAACACTACTTTAAGTTTCTTCTTGAGTAAGTGTTGGTAGTTTCTGTGTTTCCAGGATTTGGTTTTCATCTCACTGAAGGTATCTAGTTAGTATTCAATTATTTGTAATATTCTCTTATAATTGCTTGTGTTTCTGAAAGGCTAGTTGTTATGTACCCATGTTATATTCATATTTATGTATTCATGATGTAAGACTTCTCTCTTTCTCTCTTTGGTAAGTTTACCTAAAGTTTTCTATATTTTGTTGATCTTTTGAAAGCTCGAAATAGTCAAATTGTTTTTTCTATTCTGCATTTTATTAATCTCTATTCCAATACTTTTTTTTCCTTCTGTTTGCTTTGTATTGAGTCTGCTCTTCTTTTTCTAGTTCCTTAAGGTGTAAAAATATATTATTGTTTTTAGATGTTTCTTCTTTTTTTGAGTATAGGCAATCTAGCTAAAATTTTCCTTCTAAGAGTTGCTTTAGCTGCATCCTATATGTTTTGTTATGTTTTAAGTCATCTGAATATATTTTCTAACTTCATTTCCAATTTCTTTTTTGACCCACCGGTGCTTCACAGTGTGGTGTTTAATCCCCACATATGTGTAACTTTTGTAGTTCTCCCTCTATTTCAGATTTCCAGTTTTATTTCATTGATTGGAAAAGATACTTTGAATTAAATCTTTTAAAATTTAGTCTTATTTGTTTTTGGCAATTTATCCTGGAGAATGTGTTATTAGTACTTGAGAAGCATCTATACTCTGCTATTTCAGTATTCTCCACATATATATTAGGTCATTTGGTTTATAGTGCTGTTCTAGTCACTTACTACTATATTAACATTCTGTCTAAGTGCACTATGCATTATTGAAAATGGACATTTAAGTATTGAACTATAAGTACAGAACTGTTTATTTCTTCCTTTAATTCTGTCCACCTTGGCTTCATATATTTTGGGTCTCTGTTACATTCATTCATGTTTACAATTTTTATATCTAAAGATCTATATTACATTCTCCAAGGAAGATACACAAATGATCCCAAACAGTATACGATTTTTTTTTTACTTATAAAAATTTTTGTCATAAACTCACTTTGTCTCACATTAACATAGCCACTCTGGCTATCTTTCGGTTACCAACTGCACGAAGTATCTGTTTATCTTCATGTATAGTATATGATAAAATGTTATATTCACAGATAAAACAATTTAAAGTATAAAATTATGATTCAATATGCTTTTTAATTTCCTTGAACACTTTCTTTTCTTCTAAATCTATTTTCTTTATTCCTTTATAGTTTATTATTTTCATATGCTTAATAAATTCAGGAATGACAAAGTTGAAATACAACCAACTACATAGAAGTACAAAAAACCCTAAGGGACTATTATGAACACCTCTCTGCAGACAAACTAGAAAACCTAGAAGAAATATATAAATCCCTCGAAACAAGGAATTTATCTATTTCTCCACCCAAGATTATTTAACCTCCTGACATTAAGCCAGGAAGAAATTGAAATCCTGAACAGACCAATAATGGGTTCTGAAATTAAGTCAGTGATTAAAAAAAACCTACCAACCAAAACAAGCCCTGGACCAGACGGATTAACAACCAACTCCTACCAGACATATAAATAAGAGTTGGTACAAAATCTTCTGAAATTATTTTAAAAATTGAGAAGGGAATACTCTCTAAGTCATTCTGTGAAGCCAGCATCATTCTGATACCAAAATTAGGCACAAATACGACAAAAAAAAGTAAAGTTCGGGCCAACATTCCTGAGGAATATAGACACACAATCCTCCACGAAATACCAGCAAACCAAATCCAGCAGCACATCAAAAAGTGAATTCACCACGATCAAGTAGGCTTTATTTCTGGGATGCAAGGTTGGTTCAACAAGTGCAAATCAGTAAATGTGATTCACCACATAAACATAATTAAATACAAAAATCACATGATCATCTCAATAGAAGCAAAATGATTTTTCATAACATTCAGCATCCTTTCTTCTTAAAAACCCTCAATATACTGGGCACCAAATGAACTTATCTCAAAAAAATAAGAGCCATCTATGACACACCCACAGCCACCATCATACTAAACAAGTAAAATCTGGAAGCATTCCTCTTGAGAACTGGAACAATTTGAACAATTCAGTTTTCAATTTCTCATCAAAAATTGTGTTGACATGATTGATTGAAGTATTTTATCCCCCTTTCTCCCAAATACCAGGCCACAGACAGCATGAAATATTTTAAATAAACATTAAAATAAATAAGTCCAGATTGGTCATTAAATCGAGTATTTTTTTTTTATTGTATAAACTCAAGATGTACAACATGTTTTGATGTAGATATCTATAGTGAAATAATTACCACATGCTAGCAAATTAACACATCCATCACTGTCTGCAGTTTACTTTTTTGTGATAAAAACACATATAATCTAGTTATTCTCTTAGCAAATTTGTAATGTATAATAAAATAGAACTATAGTCCTTCTGTTGTACATTAGATCTCTAAATATCTTTATGTTACATAACTGTAATTTTGTCTTCTTTTACCTACATTATCCCAATTTGTCTACTTCCCTGACTCTGGCAACTGCCCTTCAACTCCCTATTTATCTTACTCAATTTCCATTTATTTTACACATAAATGAGCTCATGCTGCATTTTTCTTTCTGTGCCTGACTTGTTTCACTTGGCATATTGTACTCCATACTTTAAAATTTATTAAGCTTAAAGAATTAAACAAGTAAGCTCTAGTTGCCTAAGAAGTTAATGTACCCAGAAATATAAATTTCTCAACAATCATGGAAAATGTGTTACAACTATATCTTCTTTCAAGTAGGTCTTGTAAATATTTTCTGTATTAATACTGACTATGCTCTCGTTTGGTTGTCATTCTATTCTGAGTTTTTAACCCTCTTGTTTAACCCAATCTCTCCTCCTCAAAAATGAATAAATGCATTGACTCAAGAAACATTTATTTTTGAGCGTCTGTTTTGGAATAGGTGCTATATTTTAGGCATTGGAAAGACACTAGTGATAAAAATGGTAAAATGCTTTATCTCCTGGATCTTACATTCTATGGTAGAGAAGAGATAATAATCGCAAAAAAACTATCAGGAATGATAAACATTATAAAGAAGAGTAAAATAGGGTGTGTAGGAGATAATTACTGTTTTATATTCACTGCTCAGAGATGTCTTCTCTGATAATCAAGAGAGCAGAGAAGAGAGACCTAAATCAGTTGAAGAAATGGGTCACAACGTATCGGAAAAGAGACCACCAGGCAGAGAGAATAGTAATCTTTTTTTCTTTATTCAGTGTATTAAATGCATTGTGTTTATTGATATACCCCATTAGTTTAATCATATTCCCTCACACTTTGTTATTACCTTTATTTTAATTGCCATTTTTAAATTTTTGTGATGAACAAATAAAATTGTATATATTTATCATGTACAATGTGATATTTTAAAATATGTATATTGTGTGGAATGGGTAAATTGAGGTAATTAACATATGCATCACCTCACATACTTATAATTCTTTGCAGTAAGAAGACAAAATCAACTCTTTGCCTTTATTTCAAAATTATTTCATTGTGTGGTATTTAATATTTTCTATTTAACAAAATGTGTATATTATGTACAAATACCTATGCATAAAACATATTTTATAAGACTAAAATATCCTTAATTTCCCTCTCTTTACACAGTATCTACTAGTTTCCTAGCATAAGGAAGAACAGAAAATATTTCAGAAGATATGTCTATTCTCCTTTCCTTCATCATTCAATTGTAGCCAATATGTTTACACTAGTGCTTATCACTATTTCTTTACACTTGCTTTTATATTTTCTCCATCATCTTTATTATTTTACAATCACTCACAAGCCACGGAGCAGCCATTCAGCTTCGTCCCCATCACTCCCTTTAAATTCTCTCCTGACTCAGGGTGATTCCCATTTCACATCTTTCTGTTGGCCGATTGTCGTCTCTTTTTAGTGGGTCATCAGTTCTCTGAACCGTCATATTTCTGTTTTAAAATGTTTTCTCATTTATAAAACTGCTTTATTAAGGATTTGGGGTTGTAGAGTATTTGAAGTTTATATCAGTATTTAGCTCCGATTTAAGGCAATAATTTTGGGGTAGATTTATTTTTTTTCTATAGTATTTTTGGAAAGACGTTGCATTTTCTAATTTCATTTTTAAGAATTTGATTTGCCTTTCCAGTTGTTACCAGGTGGATTGCATAGGGCTTGCAGGCATTGGGGAATATTCTTGTTTCTCAAGCCCTACAGCTTCATTGTATGCATTCCTGCTGTCTTCTCCATGTTCATTTCTACCACCTTCCTATTCGTGGTTATGCCTGGGATGGTGACCCCCTTAGTTTAGGCAAGATTGTCCTGTTATCTCCACCACTTCTTTCCCAGGTATACTCCCTGCATCTATCTCTTCAATAATCCTCAGATTGCTACCTGGCTCCGTGTTCATCAGGCTTGGGTATAGCAGTTTACACTTGTGAGAGGACCCTCTCCTTCTTGGGGAATAATATTTCCTGGTATTTTTTATCATTACCACCACCAGTGACCTTGACTGGGTCTCTTCTCTGCCGGACTTCCTGCTTCCAATATGGAGTTTCTGTACCAATTCTGATGAGTGTCCGTGACTTTCTTCCCCTTCCTTACATGTAATTTATAGTTGATGGATTGCCTTTGTCTCCTGATTTCAGTGAAGGAATCATTTGTGCTTTTTTCATTTTTTTTGTCTTGGATGTTTATTATATCATTGGAGAATTAAAGTAGGATAAAAAGATTGGAAGACTATCTAAAAGTTTGTATCAGCAACTAGGACTCCCTTATGTATGTTTGAACAGTTTTGTTCTGTTTGCTTTTGTGAGAAATGAGATGAATTGATGTGCAAAGTGTTATTAGTTAGGGTGCCTCAATATAGGCCCAGGAAACATTGGAACACCAAAATGGATGGAGCAGACATGAGCAGAACACAAAAAAGAAATAAACAGCAATATGATAATAGTAGGGGATTATAATACCCCACTCTCAACACTCATAAACAACAAATGGACCCAAAAATAAAGACAATTTAAAAATATCCTGAGACAAACAAAAATGGACAAATAACATACCAAATCATGGGGTACAGCAAAAGTAGTTCTGATAGCTACTGAGACAGAGAGAGAAATGATCCCAAATAAGCAACCTAACTTGGCACTCTGGGAATTAGAAAAGAAGAAAAAAGCCAAAAGTTAGAAGAAAGAAGAAAGTTATAAAGGTTAGAGCAGAATTAAACAGATAAGAAAGACAAAAGAAAAGATCAGTAACACGAGGAGTTGGTTCTGTAAAAACGTGAGGAAAATTGGCAAACCTTTAGGTAGACAAACCAAGAAAACTAAGAGAGATGACTCAAATAAAACTATAAGTAAAGCAGGAGAAATTAGTCAATACTACCAAAATACAAAGGGTCATAAGAGATTATCATGACCAATTATGTCAATAAATTGAGTAACGTAGAAGAAATGGATAAATTCTTAGACATGTATGTCCTGAAGAAAGAATAAACCTGAACAAATTAATAACTAGTACAGAGATTAAATCACCAATAATAATAATAATAAACTTAAAAGTTCAGGACTTGATGCTTTTACTGGTGATTGCTACCAAATATCTAAAGACAGATTAATGCTATTCTCAAACTTTTCCAAACAATTAAAAAGGGTGCACTTTCCAACACATTTTTTCATGCATTACCCTAACACCAATGTCAGACAAGGACGGTATAAGAAAATTACAGGCCAATTTATTTTATGATCATGGATGTAAAGATTCTCAACACTAGCAAACTGAATTCAATATGTTCAAAAGATCATTTAGTTGAATGTTTTCTTTCTTCTGAAATTCTTCATTTTGCTTCCAAATGTCATTTTTCCTTATATTTTATTTTTTCATTAATCAAATTTAATTTTAAAATTTCCAACTAAAAAAATCTGTGGGTTTAATAAACATATTTTTAATTAACATTTAAAAAAAGCACAAGTTTGTAAATTGTATATTTTCTGTCCATTAGATTTTGGTTTGAGTATTGGGCCAATTGCACGGTAAGCTTTTTAATTTTTTTCCAGAAGTAATCCCAGGACCTTAAATCTCCACTGAAACTCTCGAAGTTTAATTGGTCAGCTGGGATTGTAGTCCCTGGGGTGTTGAAAGCATAAATAAGCCATACCTTAAGTCTGGACCATTTATCCCTGTAGGGAGTCCCTCTTCTCCTCTGTTCTCTTTCAGAACTACTTATTACTTTAGGTTCAGTGTATGTAGCATATGGTGACTCTATGGGTTTCAGTTTTCTGAACCCCAAATATGCAAAAATATAGAAAAAGCAGACCAGGCATCCCACCTTCTGTGTGCCACTAAGGGAGCATCTCTTCCTCTTTCTCCCCTAATAAGTTGTATATTATTTTCTCAGTATTTTAATTTTTTGCTATTTATATTATCTGAGATTTATCATTGGAATCATACAAATATTAAACCAGGAAAGATCACCCAGGAAGAAATTGAGATCACCCACAATATCAGGTATTCTAAAACATGTTATATGAAAATTGTAATAATTAAAACATGAATCACAAATCTTGCAGGTAGAAATGTCAACATATTAATTTTTTTGAGGAAGAGCAACTTGGATGAATATATGGATGTAAACTTGCTGATCAACTACAGCCAAAAATTACATTGTAATTGTAACGTGTCCCTAAACTTGACCCATTACCAATCCTGATAAGTCTGTGCTTAGGATTATGTAGATTTTCAAAGGATTGAAATGTAGTTGCCTTTTCCAAATCTTGACTAGCTTGTCTGACAAGGTAGGATCATGTCAAGTAGATTGGACTGAGGTGATCCCTTTATTTTAAAGAGCAGTCTTTGGCAAACACTGATACTAGAAACTGATATGATTTTGCTCTTGTTGAAGAATTTTACTTATTATAAATGTTTTTTAAAAACAAGGGAAGGAAACATAATCTTAAAACCACTCATTTGTGTCCATCCACATTATACTGTAGAGAAGACTGACTTTTTTTTCCAGGTGATTATTGTAGCAAAACATTTTAAGTTTTATTGAGATCGTTTGTCATGTCTAAATTTGTTCATCATAATATATCCTGAGCTTAGTTCAGTGCCTGGCTCATGATAAATTTTATTTATTTAGTGTGGTGAGAGCACTTAACAGGAAATTTACCCTCTTACACTTTTTCAGTGCACGATTCAGTACTGTGAACTCCAGGCACGGTGCTGCACAGCCAATCTCTAGGACTTCATCTTGTGTCACTGAAACCTTATACCCATTGCACAGTAGATCAAGAGAAGAAATACTTGATACACGGCACAAGACCTATAGAACACGCAGGGAAAACTTCTTCTGGCATCAGAAAACCTGTTCATTGCTGAGTTCATTCATTATATTCACCTCCTTACACCACAATGCTAACCCATGAATCTAACTGGCTGTGACAAAACTGTCTTTCATAAACCTACAGACTTTAAGATTTATGGAAAGAGAAAGACCTGTGGCATCCTAGAATTCTAACATCCACTCTTGGATCATCATGACCACTTAGCAGAGCTTTGCATTGAATTCCAGATAAAGAATATCAAACTCAAGGATATAGCAGCTCTTGAATAATGGGAAAGATAAATGAAGTGTTTGGCAAGTAGAAAGATAATCATGAAGTTCAGTCATTAAAGTCTCGCCCTGAACAAATGCCATGGACTTGACATCATAAAAAACATAAAATAGGTATAAGTCAAAAATGTTTATTTTGGGAAATTATATTTAAATCAAAATCAAAAATATACTCATCTGAAAGACAACAGAAAGTTCTGTCACCAAGGGAAATAAAACTCTAATTACCAAAACAAAATGTAAACAAAATAAAACTTACATAAATATATACATTCATGCATTCAAAAGAAGTTGCATAGAATTTTATTTAGCCATATCTCAGTATTTTGGAATTTTGCAAACACCAAGAGTCGCAATAATAATACATAATCTTCGTCTCTCACTCTGTTATTTTTTCCTCAAGCTTGGGAAAGATAATGTGTGAGTGGATAGAGTGATTCTGGGGATCGGGATGAGACAATTCTGCTTAAGGCAACTTCTCTTAGGATGGCAGGAGGTAGCAAGAGAAGAAAGGGCAGAATAACCATTACAGTTTACACCATATTTATAGCTATAATGCCTTAATATAATATGAAGTAATTACTTTCAATTACTTTTTAATAACAGAGATATATACAATATATATTCTTTAAAATGGTTATCTAAAAGTTTAAGAAATTAAAAAACCTTAATCTTAGAAATTATCTAGAAATTTAAATTTCTGAATTATAGGTAAATGTGTTATGATTTTCTTTTTTCAAATAAGCCTTACAAATATTTTCAATATTGATACTGTTTCATTTTAAATGTGCCACTAACATGATGCTGTCATTTCATTGTCATTCTAGCAGTAAGGATTCTGAGTCCTTAGCACTCTGTTTGACCCAGCCTCTCCTTCCAGGAAATGACTAAATATACTCATTCAGAGCATATTTATTTTTGAGCATCTACTTTGGGGCTACCACTGTGTTAGGCTTTCAGCACACAGCAGTGATAAAAATGAGCAAAATGTCTCATCTTATTAATATGACACTATATTGTGGAAAAGAGAAACAATTGTAAAAAATATGTTCAAGATTGTTAATTTTATGAAGAAAAATAAGACAGCATAAGGGACAGATCAGTCATTTTTATTCATTGGTCATTGAAATCTTTTCTGATAATCGAATAGCACAGAAGAGACCTAAAAGAACTGAAATAATGGGTTCTAGTGTATCTGGGGAAAACGACTCAAGGTAAAGGGAACCATCATCTTTTTCAGATGGCACTCAGAGCCATAAGAGGTTCAGATAGATCCACCCAGCAGTGAGTGCAGTGGGTTTTTCTAGGCAGAAAACACAGAAGAAACATCAAGAAATCACATGATTGGCTTGCCATGTCCAAGTCCTTTTCTAATTTTGTTTTTCTTTTTAAAGCATATTTTTTGCCTGCTACCATGACTTGTAATTTTTGATGATGTTGTTGAAAGCTGATGTATTCATTTGCTATGCGTACCATAGCATTCTGGTAGTTTGATGACAACCTTTGGCATTCCTTGGCTTGAAGTAGCATTACTTCAATCTATTCCTTTATCTTCAAAAGATAATATTCCTGGGTGCATGTCCAACTTTTTTTAAATAAGGACACCAGTTTCAAAGGTAAAGCCCAGACACTGGTTAAGGTAGTGAGGACAGATTTTAATTAGTAACATATTTTGGGGTATTTGTGGGTTTTTCACCTAAAATGTAATCTTACACAGGCTGTAGATTATATCTCTGTTTCCAGGAAGCCCCGTGTGTTGCTTTGTGTGTGCATCAGTCTCTCGAGAACCCCCTGTGAATCAGGAGGCATACGTTCCAGTGACTATAGGGAGTCGAGGGGCTAAAGAGGTAAGTGAAACATCTGGTAGGGGTAAAAGGATGGGTATATATCAAAAGTCAGGGGTGTTTAATGGAAAAGAGGTGCATATCAAAGTGTCAGGGGAGTTCAATGGAAAAAGTTAAGATGGTAAAAGAAAGAAGGAAAAAAGAAGGAAATGGGAAGGGAGCAGTCCTATAAGAGCCACTTTAGGCAGATCTTAAGATTTTCAAATAAACCATTGCAGTTCCGAATTATCCACAGTAAAGTCATTTTGCCTAAAATAGAAGCAGACATGGTTAGTGTCATAGTATATATAGAGAGTAGGAACCCAAAAGGGGTTTAACTGTGGAGTTCCTGTGGGAAGAGTAAGTTCAAATAGAATGAAGAGGTCTCACAAGAAGCCAGAGTGAACATTCCAGCACAGGAGTTAGGAAGTGAATTC